>NT_187380.1:0-172810 GCF_000001405.40 Homo sapiens | reverse complement strand
GATCAGGAATTCAAAACCAGCTGGCCAACATGGCAAAACTCCATCTCTACTAAAAATACAAAAAAATTAGCTGGGTATAGTGGCACATGACTGTAATCTCAACTACTCATGAGGCTGAGACAGGGGAATCACTTGAACCTGGCAGGCGGAGGTTGAAGTGAGCTGAGATCACACCACTGCACTCCAGTCTGGGCTACACAGCAAGACTCTGTCTCAAAAAAAAAAAAAAAAAAAAAAAGTGGCAGTTTTTCCTGCTCTCTCTCCTGCTGCCATGTAAGATGTGCCTTGCTTCTCTTTTACCTTCTGTCATGGTTGTATGTTTCCTGAGGCCTCCCCAGCCATGCAGAACTGTGAATCAAGTAAATCATTTTTATTTATAAATTATCCAGTCTCAGGTAGTATATTTACAGTAATTTGAAAACTGACAAATACAGCAGACATATAAGAGAAAAATCAACAACAAAAAAAAGTTTTGCCTAGAAAAAAATAATGAATCTCTTTATAATTGTATAATTGTAGTACAGTTGTTCCTCAACTTATGATAGGGTTACATCCTGGTAAGCCCAATATAATTGAAAATATCATAAGTAGAAAATGCATTTAATATACCCAACCTGCCAAACATCATCGCTTAGCCTAGCCTACCTTAAACATGCTCAGTGCACTAACATTAGCTTACAGTTGGGCAAAATTATCTAACAGAAAGCCTACTTTATCAGAAAGTGTTGAATCTCTCATGTAGTGTATTGAATATGGTACATTATGTTGAAATTGTGATTGTTTTGCAGTATTGTAAAGTTGAAAAATTGTAAGTCAAACCATCATTAAGTCAAGGACTATCCGTATATTTAAATTCTTTTATACAGACACACACTCACACATACATACATACACACGGGGAAAGAGGGGAAAAGAGTGACAGAAAGATAAACAGTGAGCCAGAAAGAGAGACCAGAAATTACCAGTGTGAGAAATTAATAAAGAGAGGACATCACTACAGTTTCTATAGACATCAAAACAAGTATAAAAGATTTATAGTGGCCCCAGCTAGTGTGATAAGGCAATTAAAATAAATTAAATTTGTAAATATTGAAAAGGAAAGGTAAATGCTATTTTGGAGATGGCATGGCTATGTACAAATGTCAAAAATTATCTACAAACAATTAGAAATAAAAGCCAGTTTGGTAAGGTGACTGGACTTATAACAAATGCACAAAAAGCAAAAATCAATTGTATACCTATTACACTTTTTGTCTGATAAAGTAGAAATAATTCATCACAAACAAGGACAGAAAGGAAAGGGATTAAACACGTCCTTAAATTGTATACCCTAGATGCCTCTCTTGCTTCACCCTAGGCTCAGTCCTGATAAAAATGGCTCATTATTTGTTAGAGAAATTTAAATTAAAACTGTAATGACATACCATTCTACACATACTAGTTTGTCTAACATTAAAAGACTAACAATACCGATTACAAATGAAGATAGAGAACAAGGGAAATTCTCATAGACTGTTGGAGAAAAAGTAAATGGATGCAGCTACCCACTTACATATTTATACCACAAGATACAAACAAGGATGTTCATAGCAGCATTATTTGTTTAAAAAAAGATGAATTTTTAAAATTGCCTATTGACTATTATTCAGCAATGAAAATGAACAAGTTAGAACTACATGTAACAACATAGGTCAGTCTCACAATGCATAATGTTAAGCAATAAAAGAAAATAAATGAGTGTGTACTTGTTTCCTGGGGCTGTTGTAACAACTTATCACAAACTTAGTGATTTTAAACAAGGTAAATTTATTCTCTCTCAGTTAGAGAGAACAGAAGTACAACATTTCGTTTCACTGACCTAAAGTCAAGATGGCAGAAGGGCTATATTCTCAATGGAGACTCCAAAAGATAATTCATTCATGGCTTCTTCCATCCTGTGGGCCTTCCTCTATTTTCAAAGCCAGCATCACAGCATCTTCAAACTTCTCCGTCTCTATTGTCCCATTGCCTTCTGCTCCCTTTGTCTCCTTTTTACAAGGACACTTGTGATGGCATTTAGGGCTCACTCAGATAACCCAGGATGTTCTCCTCTCAAATTTCTTTTTTCTTTCTTCTTCTTTTTTTTTTTTTTTTTTTTTTTGTTTGTTTGAGACAGAGTCTTGCTCTGCCACCCAGGCTGGAGTGCAGTGGCGCGATCTTGGCTTACTGCAACCTCTGCCTCCTATGTTCAAGTGATTCTCCCTGCCTCAGGCTCTCGAGCAGCTGGGATTACAGGCGCCGCCACCACCACACCCAGCCAACTTTTGTATTTTTGGTAGATACGGGCTTTTGACCATGTTGGCCAGGCTGGTCTCGAACTCCTGACCTCAGGTGAATCCACCTGCCTCGGCCTTTCAAAGTGCTGGGATTACAGACATGAGCCACTGTGCCCAGCCTCAAATGTCTTAAATACATCTGCAAATGCCCTACTTCAAATAAGGTCAGGCTCCATGGATTAAGACATGGACATGCATTTCAGAGGCATTATTGGCCTACAACAGAGTGGGTATATAAATATCAAAACATTAAGAAAAGTAAACTCCAAATAGTGGGTATCTTTGAAGACAAATGAAGGAGTAGTAATCTATTTTGCAAAAAAAACATGTTATTCTGAGTGGTAGTTGTGGAGGTATTTGTTTTGTGATAATTCCTTAAGGTGTATACATTTTCCTAAGGTTTGACATTAAATATATATGTTTATGCATAAATTATTCATAGATATACATATAATTAAAATTTAAGAAATAAATTATAATGACTCAATCTTCTAATGTTTTTTAAAATTTTTTTAAAATGTGACCTTTTAGGAAATAATGCAGTTACATAGATAAATTTAATACTTCCAATTAAAAAAGCAGATATAGTATTCTTTTATTATAAAATTATGTTTTATCTATTCTGCTAGCTCTCTCTCTCTCACTATACATATAGTTATGTTATCTTCCATCTATATCCAAACTTTTTGGAGTATGAAATTTGAAACACATATAACTATTTTACAGCTATTATAATAATTGTATCTACTTATTCCTTTTAAACTTGAAAAATACCAAAAAGTGCAAAGAAGAAACAAAAAAAATCACCCAAATGAATTCCACCAACAGTTAACATTGGTTGTTTCTAAAAATTTGGGTTGATTTATTTTGTTTTCTTTGTACTCTTTGGCATGAAGTATTTTTATAAAATAAGCAAAGTCATTACTCTAAAAATCCCTGAAATAAAACCTATGTAGAAATTTTAATAATGAAGATAACAAAGACAGGAATCACTGGTTACATAGCCATTTATTTAGTGCTTACCATCTACTATGCATTATTCAGTGTGTATTACATTTCGTTTTTCATCATCTCAATAATTTTGCAAGATATATACATATATAAAAAACAGAATATTGTACCTGTATTTATTATAGATGATAAAACAGAGGTGTTTTGGGAGTTTAAGTGACAGCCAGCAAACAATATTGCTGGGTTATGGTACCCAAGAGTTCTGGCTTCAGTGTGAAAAAAAATATTCAATGTTTTCCACCGGCGCTCAGGATGATTCTAATTCAATTATGACTGAATCAGATTGATGTATTGACAATTCAGAAGTGCAGATTATTCAATGAAACCACGTACGTGTGCATGTTTGTTTTCTCCTCAAATCTTGCTCCCCTTCCTTGTTCTTTCAACCAAAACCTAACACCTCCCTCAAAACACACAATACAAACAAACACAACTAATGCCTTGAGATCTGAGGCCATAGCTGATACATATTTCAACACCAGAGTCTAGCACAGAACCTAGCACTAAAAGTCACCCCCAGAGTGTTTACTGTAAATAAACTAGTGATGAGACTGTAGCTTAAATCCATGACCATCAACTCTGCTGCCACACTTCCAAGCAAGAGTTAGGTCCGTCATTGAAGCTATGTAGTTGTGATTTATGCAGAAGCTTCATAAAGAAAACCAGAGTGTGGGTAGTGGGTAGCTGTAATCTCTTCTCAATTTCCTCTATGAAGAGATAAACTCATCGCAGTCTATAGCTACCAAACACAAAGGTCACAAGATTTCTGTGACAAAAACTCCCACTGCTATGATCTTCCACAAATAATGCTAATGGAAACAGAGAGGAAAAACAATTATCAAACAATCAAATAAAGGTCTGACTGCATGCTCTTTTTCAAGATTTTGCATCTGAGGATATCAGAAAGGAAAGAAATTCAGAGGTGCAAATTGCCTCATGCACAAATCAATAACATGCTGGTCTAATGCTTGATTTCATGAGATTGCTGTTATATAAATGTAGGGAAAAGCAAATAATCAGGAGCCAAAATTGTCTCTTATCAGGGAAAGTTCATAATTAGTTTGCATTCTCACAGAATTCTAAATAGTACTGATTAATTAAGCCAATATGTATTCCAAGCAGCAACAGCTACCAATAGTCAGCCTGTGTGGGGAGAAGCATAAATCCAATGAACTCAAATTTAATACCCCTAATTGTACCAATGTAAGTAACAGTCAATGACTGAGCATGCAGCCTTTTCCCTAGAAAATCTCTAAAATAGTTTTTAACTGAATTTTGTGAACAGTATGTAGAGAAAATCTAAGGAAAAAAATACAGTGAAGGCAAGAATTCCCAAAATGCAAATCAGAAAACATTAAAATAATATTATGAAAGTTTGGTTTTCACAATTAGGGTATTCTTCAAGTTCAATACACTTTCTCATTGTTGTATTTTTCTTTTAATTTTTCAATTTCTAGACATATTTATGCAATTATTTGTAAATCTCTCTA
Source organism: Homo sapiens (assembly GCF_000001405.40). Taxonomy (NCBI): domain Eukaryota; kingdom Metazoa; phylum Chordata; class Mammalia; order Primates; family Hominidae; genus Homo; species Homo sapiens. Next base: position 167,994 of record NT_187380.1, on the reverse strand, counting down.
AATTCTAGAAAAAAATTTTCCCATTTGAATGTCATAGAAACAGAAATATAAAAACAATTTTAAGATATAAATATTCTTGAGGATTTATAACCAAATATTTTTATTCCTTATTCAACTAAAAATATTCCCTTATATCTGTGCCCCAATTAAAACAAAATTAAATAAAATGAATATTTTAAGATACTGGTTTTCAGCATTTTCTTACTTTTTTTGTAAATGGTACAAAAATAAGTAACTAGTTCTCCTTTGCATAAAGAACTGCTCACCACTCTCCAAGAACAGCTGTTTAATTCGGACAAAGAAGAAAAGAATACAGATACACCTTTCTCTCCTCGAGAACAAAGCAAAGAGAAAGAGATCAAATTGATAGAGAGTGGGAAGAGAGATGATTTGTTATTGAAGACAGACATGAAAGGTCAAGATATGAATTTTAGATAGACAGTGTAAGAACTTGACAAGTGAAAAGAAAATCAACTTTGTGATGGAGGTCAGGAGATCGCGACCATCCTGGCTAACACGGTGAAACCCCGTCTGTACTGAAAAATAGAAAAAATTAGCCGGGCGTGGTGGCGGGCGCCTGTAGTCCCAACTACTCGGGAGGCTGAGGCAGGAGAATGGTGTGAAGCCAGGAGGCGGAGCTTGCAGTGACGATCGTGCCACTGCATCCAGCCTGGGTGACAGAGCGAGACTCCATCTCAAAAAAAAGAAAAAAAAAACTTTGTGATCTGTTATATACTTGCAATGTCAGAAAAAAATAAGATATTATGCTTCAACTTCAAATTATCGACTATAGTACTGTAGTTGATGCAAGGGATGTAGATTTTAGGAAGAACAAAGAGACCATGAGCCAGACTTGAGTGCCCTTCCTCCAGGTGTTTTTTGTCATCTTAATCAAACTAAGGCTCCTGTGTATTTCGGATTCATTGCTACAAGTTTAATCTGCCCCGTTGTTGCCTTTCATCTGCTTCTTTGTTGCCTGAGAAGTAGATTGATTTATTGATTTTGATTTTTTAGTTCAAGAAGGATATTTTAGTACCAGGCAAAAGTACCTAATTTATAAGGTGCTGAAAATGTGTGAAGATGCCACCTTTCCACTGAGTTTCTAAAAAACTTAATTGGCCTACTAAAATAATAGGCTTGATTTTGAGGCCTGACTGCCAGTTACAAAGTGCAGGCTGGCTCAGATCTGTCCCTTTCAAGCTTAATGAACAGTCTTTGTTCAACTTCCAAACATTCCATATGGTCAGTGCTTGAACTAACATAATATTTTCACTAAGAAAGAGAAGTTCAATACATTTACTCATAACTGCTAACTGAATAGCCTATATAGAGTCAAAATTTAGCCTATGTGTCTCTAATTTTTCTAATTTTATATATATATATATATATATATATATATACATATATATGGAGAAGTTTTATGTTCATATATATATATATTTTTTTTTCTTTGGAGAAGTTCTATGTTCACTAGCTACTGTACTCTGGGGAACTTATATAAAATAGGCTGCCAGAACATGGATGATTGATTTGGTTTTGTTGCTGATACCTACAAAATCTTGATTTCCCTTGACTTTCTACTCAGCAAGCTAGTAAATAAATTTATTAGTGGCAATATCATAGCACTTTTCTCTGATGAGCTGAAAGTGTTTTCCAAGCATCTCCTCATTAATCCTTACAATATTTCTATGAAATTAACTAGCAGAGATATATCTATTTTAAGGTACGGATCAAATTGTTTTATGGATAGGTGAGTTGTCCAGAATTGTATAGATTATTACTGGGGAAGAAGGAAGAAAATTAGGTTTCCCATATCTCAGATAACCATATAATTTATTCTGCAAACTAGGAAACTTGTGAAAGTGATAGGGACACTATTAATAATGATGCCAGGAGAACACTGACAAACTGAGAATACAACCATGCTACCTATATCCTGCTGAATGGAATAGTAAGAAAATCACAATACCTAGTTGAAAGTTGTAAGCCAGAGGATTTGTTTCATTATTTTGAGTTGCTGTAAAATAAAATTCTACTATGAATAGTTTGTTGCATTTACTTCCATTATTTTGGTATGCAATTTTTCAAACATACTTGGAATTATAACTTACATGTAATTTTGTATTCAGGATTTTTAATTTGACACTTCAAATTGTTTTGCTAATATACAAGAATGCTTTATAAACATTTACAAATTACCACATTATGTTAACATATATAGATTTACCATAATCAACATAACCATAGCCCAGTTATTATTTACAATTATTTAGATTTATGAATAGTGCTCCAATGAGATTTGTAGCATACATTTTTCATATAGCTTTAACAATCTCCTTAGGATATATATATTTTTGATTGCCTCCAGTTATATTTTTCATATTTATTTACAATTTGTTCTAATTTTTAGGCTTTAAGTTTACGTTTTGGGGGAATTTATTTTTTAATCTTGTTAGAACTTGTTTTGGTGACTGGTAGATGGGAACAATCATGAATGGTGTCATTATTTGTCTTAGTCTGCTCGAACTGCCATCACAAAATACCACAGACTGAGTGGTTTAAACAGAAATGTATTTTCTTACACATCTGGAGGCTGGAAAGTCCAAGATCAGGACCTGTGAATGTTTGCTATCTGGTGAGCGTTCTCTTGCAGACAGTCAAGTTCTCTCACTCTGTCCTCACATTGCAGGGAAAGAGAGCAAGCTCTCTGGTGTCTATGTTATAAGGGAACTAATTCCATCATGAGAACCCTGCCCTCATGACGTCATCTAAACTTTGTTACTTCCCAAAGGCCCTGTACCCAAACACCATCACATAAATTCTGAATTTTGGGTTAAATTACATCGATCTCATTATAATACTATTCTATTCATATTATTTAATTGGTAATATATGTTGAAGTTTCTGGAGATTATTGTTTTTCTATTAACATGATAAATTATAGTAAACTATTTCCTAATAGTCATCCATTCTTGCTTACTAACATGAACACTACTTGATTATGAAGTATGATTTTAATGGGATTGCAACTTTTAATTGTAAAGTACAGCTATAGAATATTTGCAGTAATATTTATTAGTGGAATAGGCCTGTATTTTATTGTGTGTAGTGTATATGAGAGGGACAAAGGGAAAGGGATGGGAAGAGAACACATATGTTCAGCTTTGGTCAAGTTTAGTATAAATACAATATTTATTCATAAATATATTTGGAAGTATTTTTATTTTCTGTACATGGGAACATTTAAAGTTATAGATTTCTCCTCTCCCTCTCACTGTCACTCTCGCTCTGTTTGTGTGTGCACGCGCATGTGCGTGCATGCATCATTTAGCCCTGCTGACTGATACGCCTGGTTATTTATGATCAAAAGCCAGATATTGACCTAAGAGAAAAAGTCTTTAGATGGGATCTTCCTCCAAAGAAATTGTAGTTTTCTTCTGGCTTAGAGGTAGATCATCTTGGTCCAATCAGACTGAAATGCCTTGAGGCTAGATTTCAGTCTTTGTGGCAGCTGGTGAATTTCTAGTTTGCCTTTTCAGGTAGGGATTAGCTTTTTAGGGGTCCCAATGCCTAGGGAGATTTCTAGGTCCTCTGTTCCTTGCTGACCTCCAATTTTGTCTATTCTTTTGCTGAGAGGTCTGCTTAACTTCCTTTTAGTCAGGTAGCTCCATTTTATGCTAAGCTTCTTAGTTGCTCACCTTCTGCAGCTAAATAATCAGAAAATGCTGTGAAGGAAAAACAAAATGAAATTGCATTGTTTCTACCGGCCCTTTATCAAGCCCTGGCCACCATGATAGTCATGAATTCCAATTGTTGTCTATGCAGGCCTACCAGATTTCTAACATCTCTGAGCTACCGTTTTCTTCTTAGCTATCTGCTCAGCAAATGTATCCAAATGAAAGGCTGTGGAGAATGTTGAAATCACTTCAATGTGTTTCTCTTCTTTCTGGGAGCTTACACACTCAAGTTCTGGATGCTTTGATTGCTATCAGAAGCCTTTAAATAGCTACTTATTTTTAATTAATTTTACCCAGCTTTCATAATTGTTCTTGCCAGGTGGGATGGCCTGATACAAATTAACTTGTCATAGCTAGAATTAGAAGAGGAAAACTTTAAATAGCATTGAGTTATCAGTACTTTCATGTCTTGATACATTTCTTCTTGAAAATGTTCATGCTTGCTGATTTGTCTGTTTGTTGAGAGGAGAATGTTCAGAATTTTATATCTTCAACATCTTTTTCTTCATTAATAAGATACTGAGATTTTATAACTCTTGTCATTTTGGTCACTTATATTTTCATATGGAAATATCGTATAATCCAGGGTTTCCAATATATTTGTGTAAAATTAAGAAAATTATCTTATCTAATAACTTGATCAATATCTGTGATTATATTTTCATTGCCTTCCAATTTTAATATTTGTTCTCTATTCCTTCTTAATCTGGATTGAAGTTCTGATTAATTATTTTAATGTTGCAAATTGTTTTCACTTTTTCCATAAAATGAGTTCTAGAGTTTATTTCTTTACTGCATCATTCTATTTTCAAGTCATGAACTTCTGCTTCAACTAAAAAAAAAAAACTCACCGTTTGTATGAAATTGTTGTGTTCATATTTTATTTTTTATTTACTGTATAATTCAGTATTGAATATATATTATAAAATATGTAATAAAAGGATAAAAAATAAGATACAAAAAGTAAGGGGTGTGAGTTTGGAAAATTATACTTGCTGATATGGTGAAATAACTCTGACCAAACTAACCTTCCAGCAATAAAAACAAATTTGGAAAACTGGAAAAAATATACATGGCAACATGTTAGGTCATCTTTGTCTGCCTTCAAACAACTATAAATATTGTTCTACCCAAACAACTATAAATTTTGTAATACCTAGAACAATATAAATATTGTTCTACATTGTAAATTGTTCTACAATTTACAATGGTGTAAACTGTTATACACCATTTATTTGAGTAAATTTTGAAAATATCTATTCTTCATTTCTGCTGTTTCTCGTGTGGTATATATTTCTCAGATAAAAGATATTTTCCCTTTTATCTTTCCCTAAGCTCACACTACATATATTGCATTTATCTTATATCTGCTTTAAAACCTATTTATGTCTTTTTAGGTCACTTACATCAGAGGAGTTGTATTGGTGCAGGAAGGGGAGTTTGATTTAATGAAACAATGCATTAAAAATTTGTATTCACTTTGTGATTCAATGATAGTCAATGTGGCATGTAATTTTTTTCTGTCTTTTAATATTATATTGTCTTTGTTGCTTTTCTCTAACATGAAATATATGTTACACAGGCACAGTGCTGGTATCTTTTCTATTATTATCTTTGAATGGGACTCATTATTTTCTGAGCTATTTATTAAAATGGTGAAGGAAAAGATCAGTAAAGTAAATTATGTCAATAGGCAGTATCAATTTAGGTCTATTTTCCATGAATATTTTCTCAGCAACTGTGGTGTTATGATATATATTGGTTTTCATCCACAGTTCCTGGCTTATAACTCCCCTAGCACTTGTTACAGTCTTTTGTTATAATATTGGGTGTATTAGGCCTCAGGAGCAGGCCTCTCACCTTCTCATGGCCTTTTTTCATTTTTATGTTCCTGCCTTTCTGGTTGTGGGTCTTAAGACCATCTCAAGAGAGAGTCCCACCCTATACCCTGGAGGGAGGAATGCTGATATCATGAAACTTCCATAAAAATCCAGGAGGACAGTGTTCAGTGAGCTTCTGGGTAGTTGAACACATGGATGTTCCTGTAGGGTGGCCCACCCAGGGATGGCATGGAAGCTCTGCTCCCTTCCCCTATGAATTGCTCTAAGTGTCCTTCATCTATATCCTTTGCAATGTCCTTTATAAAACACCAGGAAATGTAAGTGTTTCCCTGAGTTCCGTGAGCCACTCCAACAAATTAATCAAACACAAAGAGGGGGTCCTGAGAAGCCAACTCGAAGCCAGCAGGTCAGAAGTTCAGAGGCCTGGACTTCTGGCTGGTAGTTTGAGGGTGGGCAGTCTTGGGGACTGACATGTGAGACCTGACACTATCTCCAGGTAGATAGTGTAGTGTCAGAACTGAATTAGAGGACACTCAGCTGGTGTCCACTCCTTGGTGTATGTATGGAGGAAAAAACCCACACATTTGGTCACAGAAGTCTTTTCTGTTGCTGATTGATCTTTGTGGCGTGAGACTAGAGGAAAAACAGAGAGAGTTTTCTCTACACAGCAACTATATAATCTGTGGGAATATCTCCTTTTACACCTAGCCCTACATCTGTCTGGCTACAGTCATTTATCTGGCTTTGGGAAATGTGACCACAGAATCAGATATATACATGAGATTAAATAATACATGTGTATGCCATTTAAATATCTAGAAAAGTTATGACTTCACCAGGTATGAAAAATATAAAAAGAACTCTGTCAAGAATCATACAGTAAATAGATTTTTGAATTTAATCTAGTACCTAAATAATCAGAGTAGGGAGGTTAGATATTAAAATCAGGCTAAAGATATAGGCAACATGGATCTAGAAAACATGGATTGCATGGCCATTTCACTTAGAGTTCATGGGCTTGGAATCTCTATTAACATAACTTTTACAATGTTAGAATTTGTTCCCATATTAATGAGGGAAAAACAAACAATTACCCTGAGTATCTGAAGCTCCAGATCTCATTTTCCAGTCAAAATCTCTGATAGGTAAACAACCTGAAAAAGTAGCCACAACTCACTGAGGTGATAACCTCATTTGCTTAAGAGAATGTAATTGTTTTTATGATTTTTTTTATCCCAGGAAAACATTGAAAAAAAGTTTAGAGATGATGAAGTATATGAAAACTATAATATTTATACTTTAGAGATGTGATATTTATTTATAATTGTATTAGTATTTAAATATAGATTAGCATTTTACATTCCAATTTTCAATGTGTAACAGAATATTTTAGATATTGGGGTTGTTTTTTAGTTGAAATAATAAGCGGTTTTACCGAGTTGCCAGTAGTGGTTTAACATTGAAGATAATTTAACATTCATGATTTTGTGAGTTTAATTTATTAGCTCTATAAGGGTTGTTTAAGTACTCTGAAGGCTTTATTTGTTAGTCCGATAATTAAAATGTTCATAAAGATAATTCAACATATTAAATTTGTAAATGTAGTTTAAAATCTTTAAGGGAGTTTAATTAACTAAGTTGTAAATGGACCAAACATTAATCAAAGTCCCCCTTAAAAATAATTTTTAATGTACTAGATTTATAAATAGAACAACAAGATTTCTAATTTAAACTCAAAAATTTTTTAAATTGGTTAACAATTTAACATAATATGCTGCACATTAATTCAGAATATGAAATCTTATATGTAGTCCTTTTTACATTCAAGAATCACATCGATAAACATCACAAAATGACTACTGGTAACCACTATGAAACTCTTTAAGCGGTAGGTCCTGTATGAATTTTACTCCTCATGATTTGAAGATTATGCATAAATTCCTTCTTCCTGTTATTTTGTTTCCAATTTAGTCTTTACATAGACAATTCAATTTAGTCTTTACATAGACAAAACTCCTATAACAAAAAAACTGAAAACAAAGAGGGTGCATTCCTTTGCTTGCTTTCTGAGGACACCCTACTCTAAAAGGCAGTAGCTTTCAATAAACTATGTCTTCTTCTCATTGTACTCTGTGACTCACCTTGAATTCTTTCCTGTGTGAGGCCCAAAAACCATCTCTTGAAGTGTGGATCGGGACCTCTTTTTCCAGTAACACTAGTACTGTTATAATTAGGTAAATGTTACTCACACCTGAAACATGGAGCATAAATGATTGAATTTCAAGTCTACACAACATTTTTTCCGTTAAACTGACAATTTTTTAAAATTTTTGTTTTTTTCATTTTTCTATGTATGTATCAAAGTACCAACTCCAAACTCTACTCCAGTTTTCTAATGAGTCTCATAATGCATTCAGAAGCATTAGACATTTTATCAGATTTATCTTTTTGAAAATTTTTTTCTAAATAACTCTAATTTACACAGGTTGCTGTGTACACATACTGTACATCTAATAATCAGGAGATTCCCTGTACTTTATACCCTACTCTTTCTTCATTTACTTCCTCATTTCAATGAAACTCTTCTCCAGAAATTCCTGAGATAGGATGTATTGGATGTAGAGTTTTAGAATCTTGCCATGCTGTAAATGCTTATTATTGTTTCCTCCTATCTGATTTAGTTTGGTTGGAGATACTATTCTGCATTAGAAATAATTTGTTTTGCAATTTATAAGGCTTTGCTTGTTTTCTAGTGACCATTTATATTTCTCTTCTCTGGAAATTTTAAGTCTCTTCTTTTTTTTTTTCCTGAGTGTGCTGGTGTGTGTGTGTGTGTGTGTGTGTGCGTTGGTCTAGGTCTATTTTCACCACTGGCTTGAATTCTCGTGGATACATTCAATCTGAAATTCATGCACTTTAACTCTTACCCATTTCAAAAAAGTATTTACATATATCATACTTCATTTTACTTTTTTCTTTTCCCAAATGCCTGTATTTTGTTGCTGGCCCTATAGGACCAATTATTTAATTCATTAAACTTTCCCTTTCTCATTCCCAACTCTGTTTACACTAACTTTTCTGCAGTTGCAGTCAGCTTTACCTTCCAAATCTCCCATTAAGTTATATATTTCTGCAATAAATTTCTTAATTTTTAAGAATTCTATTTTTTTGAATATCCATTTTATATCACACCTTGTTCTTGTTGTATTATCTTATCTTCCCTCTCTGAGGAAATTAATAATTACTTTTTTCCCACACTGCATAGACTCTGTTTACTTTCAGTTGTTTTGTTTATTTTTTGTTTCTGTGTTTGTTATTGGCTGTACCTAGAATCTCATGATTGTTTGTTATCTGTTTGCGTTCAAGAGCAATACAATAAATGTTTACGGTAAGCTTCAGGTTCTTAGGTAATAATTGTCAACTGTGGCTTCCAGACAGGGCAATCAGGTCGAGAAGTTTTCCCAGAAAAGCTCCTCATGACATATCCACTGGTCTATTCCTTTGGGCTGATCATGATCTTCCAACTAGAGTCTTCCAGTCTTCTCTGAGGATATAAGACTAATAGACTGTTATGTTTTGAATCTAGATAGAGGTGAAAATTGGGGAGATCTAGCTTTCAGTAGTTACTGTTCGTTTTGCACCCCTAATTTATGTATGACCATTGAAGATGATATTGCCAGTACTAAGATTCCTTGTTACCTCTCTAGACAGCAAATGTCTACTTTTCCACCAGCAGAACCTAGAGGCATTCATGCGGCTTGATGGAGTGGACATTGGAAACAGTCTTTCAACCAATCTTCCTGGGTTTTAGCCCTACCTTTACTTCTACTTTCAGAGGTATCCCGTGCAACCAATTTATGAACATTTTGTAGAATCAGATTTCCCCGCTACTTACAATTTTACACTTTTTGGTAAGCTAAGTCAGTTACCAGCCATTTATGGACTTCCTGTTTTCAAAAATGTTGCTGTTTTCTTTTTATATCACTTGAATAAGCCATTTGTCATCATGTTATAGTTTCAGGTGGGAAAATAAGTCTCTCTATGTGTTTAATATGCCATATTTGCTCAGGTGCCTGCAACTACTCTCATCATTTTTTGAAGAAAGGCTAAATTGTAATGACACTAACAACTAGTCTTCAAAGTTTGGTTTATAATTTTTAATGGTGTTTATTTTTAACAAAATTGGTGGAGTTTTTTTTTCTTTGTATATTGATTTTTCTTTTGGTTTTCAGTTGTTTTAAGAAATAAATGGAGGGAGAGATATGCTTCCTTTGCTCCCATTAACCAAAAGAATAGTTTGAAGAATGCAGGAATTAACTTTTCCATTAAGTTTAAGAGGGCCTGCTTGAGACACAGCTGGGCCTTGAGCTTTTAAAGGTGCTATAACTTTACACCGGTTTCATTTTTTTCTATTGTTGGTATCTTCAAATGATCTCATTTCTCTAGATTTATTTTTATAGTTAAATTTTCCCTAAAAAATTAACCTCTTCATATATATTTCCAAATATAATGACCAAAAGGTACATATTACATTCTTTTGAAATTTTCAGTTATCCAGTTTTCCATTTTTCTTGTTATATTTTAATAGGCTCTCTCTTTTTTGTCATCTAATTTGTTTGTCCTTTCAAAGAAATAATTTTTTGGATTTATTGAAAAATTCCATTGCTGTTGGGATGGGAGAAGATTAAATCCTTAGAATAATAGGCCAGGCATGGTGGCTCACACCTGTAATCCCAGCACTTTGGGAGGCCGAGGTGGGTGGATCACTTGAGGACAGGGGTTCAAGGCCAGCCTGGCCGATATGGTGAAACCCCTTCTCTACTAAAAACACAAAAATACAAAAATTAGCAGGGCATGGTGGCATGTGCCTGTAGTCTCAGCTACTTGTGAAACTGAGGCACAAGAAATCACTCAAACCCGGGAGATGGAGGTTGTATTGAGCCAAGATTGTGTCACTGCACTCCAGCCTGGGTGACAGAGCAACACTCTGTCTCAAAAAAAACAAACAAAGAAACAAAAACAAAACAAAACAAAAAAGAACTTTAAATAATAGTATATTATAATTTTGCAGATTATAAGATCAATAGATATTTATTGTAAAATGCACAAATAGTGCAACATTTCTTAAAGTAGACCGTGAAATACTTCATGTTGCCATGTTTCTCCAAGAGGTACTATTGGGCCTTCATAAGAAGCAATTCTTCCTTATATAGGACTGTTTGTCTCAATGCACTGTTTGGCCCAATGCATGCTGCATGTGATCTCTACCCTTTACTTGTAAGTGCTTGCCATGTCTCCATCATTGATACAACCAAAAATAACCTACATTTCCAGAATCACTCCAAAGGAATGGTCCTGAGAAAGAGTTGAAAATTCTGAACTCCTCAGATTAGATCTCTATTAAATAATTGAAGCAGTGTGCTAACTAATATTTGCAAAGCTGTTCATTATACAAGTTTAAAAAAATGCAAAGATGGTAATGACTTGAATTTTCAATAGATATGTTTTATAAAAATACTGGTAAAAATTAACATTTTACAGTCATTTTAAATGACGGCAAGATATCCAATGTATTTTCAAATGAAATATCAGTTCACTACAAATCATAATTAGCATAATCTCATTTTTAAAAAAGTACACATATGTGTTTTATGAGTGAGAGTATTTGAGTTCTAATTAAATTGTCGGTGGATTTCTAAGGAATAGAGGAAATGATGAGGCAAGTGGAATTGTAGAGAGAGGAAGATTTCAATTTACATTTAATTCACTCCTGGAGTGTTTGAGTTTTTGTAATAAAACATTATAAAATGTCATATCATTTACAGTATGATCACTTATAAACTTTCATTTCAATTAAAAGGAAATTTTTAAAAGAGGACTACCAAATAACTACTGCAGCCATTGTAGTTTCATAAATGACTTTTTACTTCCTTCATGTTGTGTTAATGTGTGCCTGCTAGGTCAAGACCCAGATTTGACACCGTGTACAGTCAGCATATAAGTATCATAACAGAAGATTACCTATCTGGATACCCTAGCTTCTCCATTCCTGAGCAAGTTGGGAGGCCATGGGGTCCAACTCTCTCAATATGTACTAAGCAAACAGAGATACTTTTGCCAAAGGATATTCTTCTTGATGGTAAAAATATTAGCTAACATTTGTTAGCTGACAAAAATGAAGTATATTAAATATGCTAAGGGAAACTGTGGTTCAAGTGATAGAGATTTTTAATTCTTTTTGAGATCATGTAATTATACCCATGACAAGGTAAGTTTGATTCAGAATAATTTCTGCCAAAATAAAGGATGCTGTTGATGGCCTGCTTGTCCCCTGCCTATTGACTATTATTCTCAAACTCAAGCAAAATTAATTTTTAAATAACAGGATAAGAAATATTAGTAAGCTCTGCCTTTTGTGGGTCAGGTTGAAAGTATGGAAGAAATTCAGAAAGGACATAGTCAGGAATAGATGAGAAAAGAAAAATATATATTATTTTGGCCATTGATATGGTTTGGCTCTGTGTCCCCACCCAAATCTCGTCTTGAATTGTAATCCCCACATATAAAGGAAGGAACCTGGTGGGAGGTGATTGGATCATGACAGCAGCTTCCCCCATGCTGTTCTCATGATAATGAGTTAAGTTCTCAAGAGATCTGATGGGTTTATAAGTGTTTGACAGTTCCTCCTTCACATGCTTACTTTCTCCCTTGCCTGCCACCATAGAAGATGTGTCTGCTTCTCCTCCCACTATCATGGTAAGTTTCCTGAGGCCTCTCCAGCATGCAGAACTGTGAGTCAATTAAACCTTTTTTCCTTTATAAATTACCCAGTCTCAGGAAAGTCTTTTATGACAGTGTGAAAGCGGACTAATACAGCCATGAGAAATGAATAACGGTTAAATGGTAGGAAGAAGAAAGAACATTCTTGGCCTAGAGAGTACAAAAGGAAAGCCATGGGGTTGGACCTAAAAAGAATACAAAGGAAGAGGAGAGAAGAGTACTAATTGTGCTCAGGAGCTGAATTGGGAAATTTTTTACAAAACCAAGAAATACCAAACTTAGTGAACTATTGTGGGACCAGTGAATAAAGAAATATTAAAGCGATGAAAAATAATTTAAGTAAATATGAGAAGAAAAATTAAGAATATCTGTATATTTTTGATCAAAGGTTGTAATGATTAAAGTTACATTATAAATTATTCTATCTATGGAATTAATTATGGGTCAAAAAGAATACAAGTCAGACAAACTATAAACTTCTCTAATTCTTTATTTTGGAACTTAAATAACTTATGTATCTAAGTTAATCAGACATTTTTACGTTATTTTTACAAAAGTACCTATGCATTAATTTAGAAAGATTTTTATTGTCTGTTTTCTATAAAAATAAAGTGTAAGATTTTATTACTTCAGATAACATTTGCTACAAGTCAATCTATGTCTTCCAAGAAAATCTCTTGGTCAGGACTCATACTTCTCCACCATGTTTCAGATTTGATTTCTTTTCAGAGAGGTAAGATTTGTTGCTGTGTCTCCTTAAATTGAAATAGATGTAATTATTGTGGCTATAGTGAGAGTCGTCTTCAATATAGTAATTGTGTTCTGAAACAGTCATCTGAAAATGAAATATTTTCTCCTCTAACTGGAGTCTTTCATTTACAATTAACTTAAACTTTTAGTCTTTACACTGGAAACTCTTCTCTAAAGAAGATATGACTATTTTGTTCTCATAAAAGCTAGACTCTTGGAGAAGACAGAAAGTGCAATGGCAGGAAGATTAATGTGGATCCTAGAATCCAGAAAGTTGTCTAGAGACTATTTAAAACGGTTACTGCAAGAAAGCTCAAAAAGAGAGTAATCATTCAGAATAGGAAGAGATAGAAATCCTTAAACAATTAAAGTAACAATACCAGGTGTGTATAGTCAGAGGGAGAGATTTTGCCTATATTATTCTGGGGAGAGAAATAAAATATTTCTGTATAACATCATAGAAATGTAAATGGAGATGTTAAACTTCTCTGATGGGTAGTTTGAGAAAAATTTTAAAAATTGAAAAGTTTTTTTTTTTTTTTTTTGAGACGGAGTCTCGCTGTGTCATCCAGGCTGGAGTGCAGTGGCGCCATCTCGGCTCACTGCGAGCTCAGCCTCCTGGCTTCGTGCCATTCTCCTGCCTCAGCCTCTCTAGTAGCGGGACTACAGGCACCCGCCACCACGCCAGGCTATTTTTTTTTTATTTTTATTAGAGACGGGGTTTCACCTTGTTAGTCAGGATGGTCTCAATCTTCTGACCTCGTGATCCGCCTGCCTCCACCTTCCAAAGTGCTGGGAATACAGGCGCAAGCCACCGCGCAGGGCCAAGACTATTGTTTTAAAGTGTGAAAATTGATATTGAATTCTTGTGTTTATATAATAAGATGTCCTATAATTTCTGTTTGGAATATAAAATCAGCAACTAATATGTATTTTCAAAGCATTATAAATACAGAGTGCTAAGTTACTTCACTGTGAAATGTAGTCATATAAAGAACATAATAATTATACTGGATTATTTTTAAATGGGCTGTCTAACATTATATTAAAAGGTTTCATCAGTAATTCATTATATCAAAATGCTCCAGGCCAGGCGTGGTGGCTTATGCCTGTAATCCCAGCACTTTGGGAGGTCGAAGTGGGCGGATCACTTGAGGTCAGGAGATGGAGACTAGCCTGGCCAACATGATGAAACCCCGTGTCTAATAATAAAAAAAAAAAAATTAGCTGGGTGTGGTGGTGGGCAACTGTAATCTCAGCTAATCAGGAGGCTGAGGCAGAAGAATTGCTTGAACGTGGAAGGCAGAGTTTACAGTGTGCCAAGATCACACCACCCTACTCCAACTTGGGTGACAGAGCAAGACGCAGTCTCAAGGAAAAAAAAAAAGCTCGAAAAATGTTTGCTTATTTTGGTAAAATTATTCATTGACTATGCTCAGAAATCAAGCAAACTGTCCATATTTCATTTTTTGAAATTACATATTAAGGATCTAAAACAAAGGATAAAATATCTGCAAAAATATTTGCATTTCTGGATAAATTAGTTTCCTGATTTAACTCCTTGTTGACACTGAATCTATTTTAAATTAAACAAGGTGCTGATAAGACAAAAGACAAAGAAAGAAATTCAAAATAAAATTGAAAGATGAAATCAGAGCTTACCAGAGATAAAATTTCCTCTGACAGTGTAAAAGAGATCTTCATACAAAAATCAGAATTTATATAGTCTCTTTCCAAAAGACCATAAAACCAATCAGTTAATAGTTGATTTTTATGTGAAAAAAGAGACTGTAAAAGAAAAAATAATGACACCAAAATCCCTTTTAAATTCAAAGAGTCATAAAGTTTCAAAAAATGTAATTCAGATAAGAAATTAATGTCAGCTACATTCTTCCACAGTAAAGGTTTGCATCAACTTTTCAACTAATAGCTTTAGCATTCATTAGAAAACTTGTTTCAACCATTATTTTACTAGGTGTTATAACAGGGTACTACATTCTTTCATTTTTTTCTTCATTTATTAGCTGGAATAATTTCTAAAAGAACATTTCCTCCCAAATGTGTATTGATTACACCAAAACACAGTTTGGACAGGAAAAACAAGATAAGTAGACAAATGCTTGATTTTTATACCCCTCCCCACTTTTCACAGTAATGAATTAGTGCTTCAGCAAACTTTAATAGTGATTAAAAACTTATTTCCCATAATAAAAATTTTAAGTTTTTGTAAGTAAATGATAAATAATAATTTATCCAGTATTTCATGAGTACCTATAACCAGCCAGGATCCATTCTCCAACAATGTGGGGAAAGGAGCCCAGTTTAAAATTCCTGTCAGGATACCAGCAAGATGATGAAATAGAAAGCCTCAAAGCCCCTCCACCCTCCTCTCCAAGGAGACACCAGCTCGATAATAATACACAGATAAATCCCCTTCGTGAAAAGTTCAGAGGAGAATTTAAAGACTCTGGATTCCCTGGTAGGCTTCAAGCCAGGCACATCAAAACCAGCAGGTAAATTTGTTGCACTCACTCATCCTCCCTCAGCAGTACAACGCAATGGAGAGAAAGCTCCAAACTCCCAGCTCATCTCTAGGGAGAGAAAGAAAAGTCTAGACCATACGTCCAACATTTTGACTTTTTGGGAGGGCACTAGCACCTATCTACCCTGAATCTAAGTGCTAACAGGAAAGGATGCCAGATTGCATGCCTGCTGATAAAGCCACAGTTTGGACTGTCACTCAATCACCATCGTTCCTCCGGTGACTCAGTATAACAAGTTTGGGAGAATACTCTACAGTTCCTGATTCCCCCACAGAAGTGAAAGAGAATACTGCAACACACATTCAGTGTTCAGACTTCAGGGGAGTTGCCAAGTGATTGTTTTCTGTCTTGCCTGAATTTAAGCATTAACAGGAAAGCTTTCCAGGTTGGGGATATTAAGAATAAATGAGTTGAGGAAGTTTGGGTTAGCATACATTCACTTATCATATCATCCTTCCCTGGATCAATATGCAATGAGTGGGACAAAACCCTCAACTCCTGGCTTCCCCTTGGAGAAGGAAAAAGCTGGAGTGTGCATCCAGAATTTCAACTTTTCCCAGTCAGCCTGATGGACTGTTTTCTGTCTGACCGGATACTCTTCATGTCTGAGGACTGCTGAGAACAAAAGAGAGCTAGGGGGTTATAGCAACTCCAGATAACCTACAGTACTACAGATAGATAACAAAGAGAGCAAGAGATTACATGCTCCTGAAGAAAGACCTGCAAATTTTTCTCAGAATTTACACACAATTTCAGAGACAATACATTCACAGAAAGATTTGACACACTTCAGAATCTCTAACTGGGCTGACTGGTGAAAGGATTTCCCAGTGCAAAACCAGTCTGTAAAGACAAGGAGAAGTGGTTATTTTTTTCAAATCCTAGAATAACAACACAAAATTAAAAGGCACACAAGGAAACAGGGAAACATGGCCTAATAAAAAGAAGAAAATAAGTTTCCAAATATCAACCCTTCAAAAATGGAGGTATATAAATTATCTGGCAAAGTGACATATCCTGACACATTCTCCAGGATAGATCAAATGTTAGGTCACAAAGCGAGTCTTAACAAAATTAAGACAAAGGAAATCAAGAACCTGTTTTGACCAAAAGTAGGATGAAGCAAAAATTCAATAGTAGAAGGAAAACAGAAACATTTACAAATATATGGAAATTAAACAACATACTATTGAACAACCAATGAGTCAAAGAAGAAATCAAAAAGAATATTAGAAAAGAAGCTGACAAAAAAATAAAAAAACACAACATAGCAAAACTTAGAAATGCAGCAAAGGCAGTACTAAAGAGGGAAATTTATAGCAATAAATGCCTACCTTAAAAAAGAAGAAAGATCTCAAATAAACAACCTAACTTTACAACTCAAGGAACTAAAAAAAAGAACCAAGCCCAAACCCAGCAAAAGGAAGGAAATAATAAAAATTAAGCAAATAAAGGATATTTTCACACACATATTTTCATTATAACCAGAAAGTAGAACCAATGCAAGTGAATAGATTAAAAAAAAACTGTGGTATTACTATACAATGGAATATGGCAATTAAAAAGAGAAAAGACTCAACCAAATAAAATTAAAAATGAAAAAGTAGACATTGCAATTGATGCCACAGAAATAAAAAAGATTATTAGAGACTGCTGTGAATTATTATGGTAATAATTGGATAACCTAGAAAAAAACAAATTACTGGAAATATACAACAAACAACACTGAATCAAAAAGAAATACAAAATATGAACAAATCTATAGCTAGTAAGGTGTTTAAATTAGTAATCAAAAATCTTCCAACAAAGAAAATCTCAGGTGCAGATGACTTTACTAGAGAATTCTGCCAACATTTAAGGAAGAATTAATGCCAATATTTCTCAAACATTCCTAAAAAGTTAAAGAAGAAAGAACTATTCTAAACTCTTTTTGTGAAGCTAGTATAACCCTAATATCAAAGCCAGACAATGGTGCTACAAGAAAAAAAATTAAATATTCCTAATGAATGTAGATGCAAAATCCTCAACAAATACCAGTAAATTGAATTCAACAGCACTATAAAGTATCATCCACCATAATTATGATGGATTTGTTCCTGGAATGCAAGAAGGGTTCAACATGTGCAAATCAATATAATATGCCACATTAACAAAATAACTCAAATAACGTGTTCATCTCCGTAGATGGAGAAAGATCATTTGATGAAATTCAACATTCTCTCGTTAGAAAAACACTTGAAAAAATAGGAATAGAAAGAAATTATTCCAACAGAATAAAGGCCATATGTAAAAACCCACATTTCACACCATATTAATGAAGAAAAACTGAAATCTCTTCTTCTAAGATCAGGATCAGGAACAAGGCAAGGACGCCTTTATGAAGTACATAAAGTCCTAGCTAAAATAATTCAGCAAGAAAAAGATATAAAGGCATCCAAATTGGAAAGGAAGAAGTAAGTAAAATTTTTTCTATTCCCAGAAAACATCATCTTATATATTAAAAAAACCCTAAAGATTCAACAAAAAGCTCTTGGAACTAATAAAATTAATTCAGCAAAGTTGCAGGATTCAAAGTAAAGATTCAAAAAAACACAAACAGCAAACATTCTGAAAAGGAAATTAAGAAAACAATCCATTTGCAATGGCATCAAACTGAATAAAATACTTTGGAATAAACTTAGCCGGTGGGGGAAAGACTTGTACACTGAATACTGCAAAATATTGCTGAAAGAAATTAAGGAAGACACAAATAAATGGAAAGCCATCTCATTTTTGTGAATTCAAAGAATATTTTTAAATTCTAATACTAGCCAAAGAAATTTACAGATTTGATGTAATCCCTTGGAATTGTATAAATTCCAATGATAATTTTAGAGAAATAGAAAGGACAATTCTAAAATCCATATGGAACCACAACGGACCCTGAATATCCAAAACAATCCTAAGAAAGAGAAACAGTTAGAGGCCTCACATTTTCTGACTTTGAAATATACTACAAAGCTACAGCAATCGCAATAGTGTGATATTAATGTAAAACTAATCATATAGATGAATGGAACAGAATGGATTATTGGAACAGAATAGAAAGCCCACTGGGAGGCCAAGGCGGGCAGATCACCTAAGGTCGGGAGTTCAAGACCAGCCTGGCTAACATGGTGAAACCCCGTCTCTATGAAAAAATACAAAAATTAGCTGGGCATGGTTATGGGCACCTGTAATTCCAGCTACTTGGGAGGCTGAGGTAGGAGAATCGCTTGAACCCAGGAGGAAGAGGTTGCAGTGAGCCAAGATCACACCACTGCACTCCCGCCTTGGTTACAGAGCAAGACTCCATCTCAAAAAGAAAGAAAGAAATAAGAAAGAAAGAAAGAAAGAAAGAAAGAAAGAAAGAAAGAAAGAAAGAAGGAAGGAAGGAAGGAAGGAAGGAAGGAAGGAAGGAAGGAAGGAAGGAAAGAAAGCAAGCCCAGAAATAAACCCACATGCATATAGTCAAATGATCTTTGACGAGGGTGCCAAAACTATACAATGGAGAAAGGATAATTTCTTCAACAAATATTGTTGGGAAAACTGGATATCCATATGCAAAAGAATGAAAGTGAACCGTTATCTTAAAACTGTTCACAAATGTTAACTCCAAATGGATTGAAGACTTAAATGTAAGAACTAAAGCTGTAAAACTACAAGAAAACATAAAGAAAGGCTTTATCACATTGGTCGTGGCAATAATTCCTTGGATTTGATACCAAAAGCACAGGCAACAAAAGCAAAAATAGGTTAGGGTGATTACATCAAGATAAAATGCTTCTGTGCAAAAAAGGAAACAACAGAGTGAACAGGCAGCCTATAGAATTGGAGAAAATATTTGAAAACCGTATATGTGCTAAGGGCTTAATATCCAAAATATATAAGAAACACCTAGAACTCAAAAGCAAATAAACACATAACCCAATTTTAAAATGGCCAAATTCTTAAATAGATATTTTTCAGGAAGACATGCAAATGACCAACAGGGATATAAAAAGATACTCAACATCATTAATCATCAGGGAAATGCTAATTAAAATCACAACGGGATTTATCACCTCATAACTGTATGACCATTTTAAAAAAAAGAAAATAGCAAGTGTTGATGAAGATGTGGAGAAATTGAATTAGAACCTTATGTACTGTCAGTAGGAATGTAAAATGGTAGAGCCACTATGGAAAACAGTATGGAGGGTCCTCAAAACATTAAAAAATAGACCTACCATATGATGCAGCAATCCCACTTGTGGGCATTTTTCCAAAATAATTGAATAATTCCAAAATAATTGAAAACAAGATCTTGAAGTGATATTTGCATTCCCATATTCATTACAGAATTATTCACAATAGCCAAAAAGTAGAAACAATCTAAAAGTCCATCATCAAATGAACAGATGAAGAAAATATGGTATATATGTGTGTGTGTGTATATATATATATATATATATATATGTATGGTATATATATGTATGGTATATATATGTATGGTGTATATATATATGTATGATAAATATAGTATGGCATATATATGTATGGTGTATATATATGGTATATTTATGTGTATATATACATACACACACAGAATGGAATATTAGTAAGCCTTCAAAAGGAAAATTCTGTCTTATTTCAACATGTATCAATCTTAAGGATATTGTGCTAAGTGAAATAAGCCAGACACAAACACAAATATATCGTGATTCCATTTATATGATGTATTGAAAGTAGCCAAACACATGGAAACACAAGATAAAATGGTAGTTGTCAGGGCCTGGAGGAAACAGGAAATCTGGAGTTGCTGTTCACCAGGTGTAGAGTTTCAGTCAAGCAAGATAAAAACATTCTAGATTTCTGCTGTACAACAATGTGTATATCATTAACAAAATGTTCTGCAAACTTAAAATTTTGTTAAGATGGTAGATTTTTTTGTTATGTGTTTTTTAATTACAAAAATTTCTGTCTGTATTTAGTTTACATTTTAGTAAGGAAAGACAAATAAGCTAATAAATGGTAATGATAAATGCTGTAAGGATATCTAGAGCAATAAAAGAAGTTATGGATATGGGAGTATAATTTTAGATAGTGAAGATTTCTGTATTCAAATGCCACATGGAAAAAGGACTAAGGGGAATGAGGAGATGAGTCATATGGAATGCCCAAGACACAGAAAAAGGCAGGCAGAGAAAATAACAAGGATAAAGACACTGAAGTAAAATCATGCTTTCTATATTTCAAAACAGCAGCAAGTACACTACTGTGATAGAGCAGGAGTGACCAATGGGAGGCTGGAGATTTTGTCAGAGATATTGTCAAGGCTCAGGATCGTACAGGGACTTGTAAGCCTGGAAAGCACTTTGAATTTTATTCAGAATGAGATGAGAAGCCATTGAAAAGTTTTTAAGCAGATGAGTAAAATAATCCACCTTGTATTTTAAGAGGAGCATTCTACCTTCTCTGTGGAATAGAGAGGTGGAAGGGAAAGCTTGAAGCAGAGAGAGCAGTGAAGAGTGTACTGTAATATTCTTATGTGAGAAATAGTGGAGGGAATGAGAGGTGGTCAGCCTTAAACTGCCATTTGCTCTCTGTATCAGGGCTCAGGGACTTTCAGACTCTCCAGGGATTCCTTACAGTTTTTACATTCGTTTCTCAGTTGCAAACATAATCTCTTCACTCTATGAGAACTCTAGATCTGAATCCTTGTTATGAGTCAGGAGTCCTCTCTAGTTTACTCTCTTGTCAGTAACTAGACTTGAAATGTTTTGATATTAATTGATATAGTAATAAGATTGGTTAGAGAAATAGCAAAGAGAGAGCATCCCCATCCTATGACCATATCAGCACCAGAAGAGAAAAACACATCTACACAGTTTTTCCCTTGGCATAGGTCCTGGTATTCTGTTAGGGAACAGGTTATGAAGGAAATACAAAGGGTCTTTGTACTTACTTTCAGAATGTATTTTCTTTAACATGAAAAGAATCCAAGGCCTTTTTGCTTCTAATTGCTTTTTGTGTATCTACTACCATCCCTTGCTAAATTATTGATAGGTTTCCTCAAATCTCGGCATGATGTCCTACATTCTAAATTTTCAATAGCTGAAAATTTCACCTTTTCAGTGCCTTCAAGTTTATCTCAGTAAAAAGTTGAGAAAGACTGTAATAGAGTTATTTAATCAGATTTTTTTCATCTACCATAATTTTTGAATAAGGAAAAACAGCAATACTTTTTCTCCTTACTTGGCAACTAATTTTCATAGAGAGGAAAAAAACAATCAAAACAGGTACAAAATGTAACAAAACCAAAGGACCATGTGAGGTGAAATTTAAAATGAGAAAAATGTCCACAGTACTTTGGGCAATGCAACTCCTGGGAAATAGTAACTCAGCACCTGAGAGCTAAATAATTCTACAGGACTAAATATATATTCTGGTACTCAAGGGGAAAATGACATCATATAGAGTTTAGGTCTATTAAAACATATTTGTAGATGTGTAGGTATCAAAAATGCTTTTAGAGATGGGAAGAGAAAAAAACTCATTTGTTTAACAAGTTCTGATGGGTGCTTTTCACTAAAAGAGAAACATCATATGTTTATAACACTCAGGATGTAAATTGCGGTACATTTCAAATTACATGAGAAACTAAAGAAAATATCTGTTTCGGGTCACTGAATAATTCATTCTTATTTAGTGTTTGTCCCTAATTTCTGTGATTTTATGAATAATTCAGAGCAATGATTTTACCTTTCTCTACAGCTGTATTTGGTAAATGTCCACATTATTTTTGTTGCAAAGATGCAGCCAAGTTTCTTAGAATAGGAACAATGTTTAGAATGTATTTTTTCCATAATGAAAAATATTATGAAAGGGGAAACTAAGATATAGCTTACAGGGTTCTCTATTGTGATAACTAAAACATACTTAGCCTCAAGTAAAACTGACATCTTGCTAACTGTTGGTGGTGAAGGAGAAAGAAGACAACACTGAACCAGACTGGGGAAAGATGAATTCAAATTAGTTAGAGATTTGTCACCCAAAGCAAAACAAATTCAAGCTTGAACTGAGTTGACATTGGTAGTTATTATGGACTGCAAATCCCTCAAATTCATATGATGAAATCCTAACTCTCAATGTATTGGTATTAGGAGGTAAACCTTTGGGAGGTAATTAGGTCATGAAGATGAAACCCTCACCAAAGGAAAGTAGTGCCCTTCTAGAAAGAGATACAAGAGAGATTTTTCTCTCCTCCATGTGAGGATAAAATAAGACAGCCATCTGTAAACCAGGAAGACAGCCTTCACCGAGAACCCAACCATGCTGACTCCCTGATTTCAGATTTACAGCCTACGGATCTGTGAAAAACAAATGTTTATTGTTTTACTCGCTCAATCTGTGTTTTCCGTTATAGCAGCCCACATTGACTAAGAAAATACTAAACCCTTTATTTGATAGATAAAGATAGTATCAGACAAGGTATCATATGAGTAAAAACCTAAGATTTATGTGTGATCATTTTACATTGGAGCAGCTACTGAAACTTGAGACCAAAACCACTAGCTAACATCAGTATGTCAACCCAAAACATTTGGGACAGTAATGAAGATACAGCAAATGAATTGTTTTAATATATAATCAAGGCAAAGTTATCCTCAGAATTATAGGAAAAAATCCACTAAATTTGGCTTATGAGAAATGCATGGTTCATTGTATACCTTGATACTGGGCTTAAAGCAGCAATCCTAATTCCAGATCTACCTTCAAGTCTGGGTCAGTGTTCTCAAATGCTGCCAGTTTCATGTCAGGACCAGCTTAATATTGAAGGTAACTGAGCATTGCTAATGTCTGACTGGAGCTGAAAGAGGCCAAAAGCAGGGTTATAACTTTGGGAAAACTGACCTGGTGTTAACTTCCATGCCTTCCATTTCAAACGGGAAGGTATCACAATTAGAAGCTATTAACAGTCTTATCTAATAAATTGTGGATAATTTCTTTTTTTTTTTTCTTTTTTTTTAAGAGTCAGGGTCTCACTCTGTCACCTAGGCTGGAGTGCAGTTGTGCAATTGTTACGGAATCTTTGGGGTGTCGATTTTCTGGTTTGGAAACTGTGGTTGGTGGCATCTTTGCCCGAGTTCTTGTCCTGCTTCCAGGAAAAATGGTGTAGGTAGACAAGTGAAGGGTTAAAGGAGAGGAGCTTTATTAAGTGTTAGAACAGCTCAGAGGAGACCCATAGTGGGTAGCTCCTCCCTAGGTTGTTCTGTCAAGTGTTCAGCTCTCAGGAGAAAGGGAAACCCTGGAGAGGGTTGCTCCTGTCTGCAGCTGGTAGTTCCCAGACATCTCTGCAGGTCTCTGAAGCATTCAGCAGAGAAAACAGCTGGCCCTCCCATTGTCTCCAGCTATCAGCAGAAAGGATAGCTCCTTCCTGCCTCTATTCTTCCCTCCTCTGCCCTCTGCCCTGTTCTGGCTGAGTCCTGGGCTTTTATGGATGTCAGAGGGGAGGAAATGTATGCCCATTGGTCCATGGGCAGCCATGGGCGGGCCCAGGAAAAACACCATGAGTTTTGCCTCCAGTCTGCAGGACTGGCAGCCTAGCCTGCAGGTGGGGCTTCACTGGGGACCCATCACCTTCCACCCAGGAGCCTGTCTGCCTCCCACAACCATCCATGGCACCCAGGCTGCTGGCATCAAGGGGCACTTGCAGGCCAGTGCCAAGCCACCCTCGGACCCCCTCATCTTCCCCTCCCATGCTCCTGCTTCTCAGTGTCCAAAGTCCAGAAGGGACTGAGGTGGCAGGGGACTGGCATGTCGGCACTGCTTCCAATTTGTGCACACCTGGCTGGGCAGTGACAGCACCCTGCTGGGTCCCAACCCCACTCTGAGATCAGAGCACAGAGCCAGGAGGTGGGAGAGACCAGGCAGCAGGAAGAGGTGCCTCCAAGCCTGCAAGGGGCAAGGGGGGCGTTCCCAGGCTCCCCAAGAGTGCAGGGATGCCTGAGTCTGCAGCATTGGTTTGGGTGGCTGGGTGGTGGGCTGGGGTGGGGACAGAGTAGGGGAGTTGGATAAACTCCCATCTGCTCCATGGAGTGGGAGGTCCAGGTCTACAGCTACAGCTGCAGTTTGGGCAGCTGCAGCAGCACCCAGGGAGCTCCCATTCCAACTCGGAAGGGCAGGGCTCCCACTTGTCCTCATCCTGCCAAATCCAGGGAGCATACAACCCCGGCCACACCTCTCCCCTGCATCTGGCATGATGGCAGCAGCCACTGCCATCACAATCACAACCTATTGTAGCCTCAAACTCCTGGGCCCAAGTGATCTTTTTACCTCAGTCTCCCCAATGGCTGGGGCCACAGGCATGTGCCATAATGCCCATCTAATTGTTTTTTTATTTTTGTAGAGAAGGTGGTCTGGCTATATTGCCCAGGTTAATCTCTAATTCCTGGATTTAAGCAGTCTTCCTGCCTCATCCTCCTACATGGCTGGGATTACAGGCATGAGCGACTGTGCCCAGCTCCTGATAAATCCTTTCTTAATCAAAGTCTTCATCAGCAGCCTTACTTACCACAATCTTCCCAGATGATCTCAAGTATCCAAGGAAACTAAAAGTAGCTACTGCTGACAAAACTGTTGGGTTCCCTGATATTGTGCAAGAATAAAATGATGCTAGGTCTTCTGTTAGCTAGCTCTTCTTCTGTAACAGTCTCTTCCTATGTATTAATCAAAACTGATGCAACTTTTTAAAGAACTATTCCTAGAAACTTTCTCCCTTCCCCGTCAGAATTAATGTATTATTTATCCATTTAAAGGACTATATAAGTAGGACATGCTTTGGGTATATAACAGCACTTACGGCCATTTACTTTGTGGTTCAGTGATTTCTGTGTGCTTCTGACTTGTATATACTTTCAGCCCTTGTAGATGTAGTGGTGGTAGTTTTCCCAACTTAAATTTATCTTTATCATCCACCTTTATCCACAGTCCTCCTCATGATTAGCACATTGTCAATAAATATTTACTAAGCTGAACTGAAAGTTTTTATTATGCATAAATACTAAGATGTCCATGTCCATGGTCATGCAGGACAGCAGAAGATAATTTTTTTTACCAGTGTATCTATTGCTAACAATTGCTTCAAGGTCAGGAGCCAACTCATGTATTAGACATGTAAATCTTGTGAAAATATTCGTATTGGAAACAGCATGTAGCAAGTGCAAACAGAACTAAATAAATCCTTTAATTTATCACAGCCCCTTCGAAGTATGAATTCTTCTTCTAGCATTACATCAAATTTGATAAAATCCAAAAATATTTTATCTCAATGTTTTAAAAGTGTTGATGCTGTGTACATTGAGTTATTGTACAATTGGATGGAACCCACATTCAAAGTTTTTCCTCAATGTTAAAATTAAATGGTTCTCTCTGTGATTCCTTCTGTTTGCAGTTCTTCTCATTTCATTGTTAGAATTTACCTCTACAAATGTAATTCATTTGGCATTGCAGACGTTCTGATCTTTTCAAATGTGTATTTTGACAGGTGCCTCATACATTCATCCTTGGTTTGTGCTGTGGGCCTAAAGTTTATATCTCTCCAAAACTCATATATTGAAATCTAATTCCCAATATGTTGGTGTTAAGATGTGAGGCCAGGCTGGACACAGTGGCTCACACCTGTAATCCCAGCACTTTGGGAGGCCGAAGTGGACAGATCATGAGGTCAGGAGTTCAAGACCAGCCTGGCCAACATGGTAAAACCCCATCTTTACTAAAAATACAAAAATTAGCCAGGTGTGGTGGCACACGCCTGTAATCCCAGCTACTCGGGAGGCTGAGGCAGAAGAATTGCTTGAACCTGGGAACCAGAGGTTGCAGTGAGCTGAGATTGTGCCACTGCACTCCAGCCTGGGCAACAGAGCAAGACTCCATCTCAAAAAATAAATAAATAAATAAATAAATAAATAAATAAATAAATAAGGGCGGTCTTTGGGATGTGAGTAGGTTAAGGGGGTTGGGGAGCCATCATGAATGGGTTAGTCCCCTTATAAAAGAACCCATAGGGAGCTACTTTGCCCCTTTTGTCCTTATGCCAAGTGAAGATGCAGCAGTAAGTTTGAGAAACAAACCTCACCAGGTAACAACTCTGCTGGCACCTAAATCTTGGACTTCCCAACCCCCAGAACTGAGAATAATAAATTTGGTTTATAAATTACCCAGTCTAAGGTAATTTGTTACAGCAGTCCAAATGGACTCAAACAGGTTGTAAACACTTGAAAAATGAGTATCTGTATTGAATCGCATATTTTAGCCGTAGTTTGCTTGTAGGAGTACAGCCTATGGCCAAAGAATTAATAGCTGACTCTCATTTGAATGGCCAAGATTTGCTCTCTATTTCCAGTATTTTATTTTTGTGCCTGTATGTTGGATACAGGCAAATTTTTACACAATAAACCAGAAAAGTTCAATAGTCTTTCATTCTCTGCTTTCACTAACTTCTTTTAAGTATATTTCAACAATTATCTTAATATTAGCACCAGTAGATTAAGCATACTGTTATAAACACTCTATTTATTCAAAGCTTGAATTGAGCTAGCTGCTAATAACATTTTTTTAATTAGCATTGCAACCATATTCACCTACCATATTTTTCCCTCTCCTTTGATTTCTGGGCCATTACTCACTTTCACAATTTGTATGTGACTCACCATTCTGTACCTACTTTTGCCTTACCTTAAAATATTTTTTGATTTAATACATTTACATTTTTTCTCCTTTTGCTTTTGGAATTGTATTACTATCACGGGGGGTTTTCTTTTCCTTTTTCAAGAGTTTCTCAAAATTTTTGACCAAAGCCCTATCCTCTGAAGTGAGTAATATTCTTCACTATATTACCGCATCACATGTTTACATCAGGCTAAAGTAAGAAACACTACTCGTGTTCTGTAGCTAATTGATAATTGTTAAAATAAACTTAACAATTGATAACAAATTATAGAAAATGATTATTTTAATGTTCTTTATACTTGTAATCTTTGTAAATAATATGAGTTATCACCTCTTTCTGTAGCTAATTGTATAGGGAGCACACCCAGTTAGTGGCATATTTCTTAACACATTTCTGATATCAAGAATAACAAATACAATGCAGTGGGGAGTGGAGAAAAGAAATTAAGTGTGGCTACATCTGCAAGTAACAATTGCAGCCACATTTTATCAAGGGTTAAACAATCGTCAATGAGCTATACACATTGTTTGTCACCAGAATAACTGAATCAAGAGGTTCCAACTCATTGTTTCATTCCCATATACCTGAACATCTGGGACATGAAGAAATAGTGTGTATGTGTTAATAGGCAAAGCTGTAGTAATGACTTCTACATATTGGAAGCAGTTATCTATTTTCCTGTTACTAATTTTTACACAAAAATACCTCAGATGAATATTGACAGAAACTCAGAAAGAAGTATGGCATAAACTAATACGAAGGTAACGTAGTAATGGCAGAAAGTTACAGCTTAAAAGTTTTTACAGTGGGAAGACTATTGTAATAGTGAGAGCCATGTATAAGTTTGTTTTGAAATGATAATGTACAGCTAAAGAGTATAATGCTCAAATTTTTGTATATGAAGTTTTCGTAATTCAACAAGTAGGGTTAAGAGACAATAAGAATTACACAGAATGTTGGATTTTATTTCACGTCTGTTCCTCTTGTCAGACATTGCCATCTTTCCCCTGTTTCGTCAGGTCTTCAGTAAGTTAACAACATTCACTCTGTGAAAAGTACCACATGATTTATTGTATAAATATAATTGGAAATACACTGTGGTTCCTCATATCCTCAAGCTTATAATTCAGTTTGGAGACTACACTATATAAATGTAGAAATGCCATAATTATGCTTATAAATTGATTTTTTAAAACATGAAAATTAATTTGGTAGAAACTGAATACATAAGTATGGGGGTGCCATATAAAATAATGATCAATGCCAGTGGGATTAATCAAAGAAAGTTTCTTGGGGAAGTGAATTCTAAACAGAATTTGGTATATTTGTTTATTTAGCACTCATTTTATGTTTTCTAATTATAAATATAACGTATTCTCAAATTCTGAAGGTAATAAATTTGCAAATTTTAAATTAGTAGGAAGAGTAAAAGGAACTAAGATCCCACTGTCCAAAGGTAATCATTATTCAGGTTCTGTTCTTTTCCTTCCATTTGGTTCTCTGATATTTTCTTCATGGTTGCCATTACATCACATATTCAATATTATGACCCACTTTGTGTTTCAGTCAGTGTCTATACATACAACTTTGAATGATACAAATGTCTCATAGAAACTAAGTTTAATCAAATCAAGAAACTAAGTTTAATGCCAGTCTATATCAATGTACCGTTTCCTTCTAGCTAAATATTTAGGCTTTTCCAAATTTTGTTAACATAAATAACTCCAAAGATATTTTTGTTAACATTTTCTCTTAGTGTTACTTTCCTAAGGTAGACTTTAACAATTTACTATAACAAATTATAGAAAATGATCATTTTAAGGTTCCTTATTCTTGTACTATTTGTAAATAATGTTATCACCTCTTTCGAATTATTTCTTCTTGATATTTTATTGCATTGATCAGAATTCTCAGAATTGTAATATAATGTTAATTATTAAATATTACATTCCTTCTCATGTTAATAGTTATTATTTTGTAAATATGATGCTATTAGCAAATTTTAGATTGGCATCCTTAATATATTATTCAGATGTTAGCAATTGCACTTTTCCCTAAAAAGGCTCTTTTTGTGGCTTTTTGTCCCCGCCATGGCTTTTTACCGCCGCAGTATTTTGCCCCCGCCGCCATGGGTTTCAGTCCCCGCCGCCGCGGCTTTTGGCCCCCGCCGCCACTCTTTTGACAACGCGGCTTTTTGCCCCCGCCGCCGAGGCTTTTTGCCGCCGTGGCTTTTTACCCCAGCCGCCGGTGTTTTTTGCGACTTTTTCCCCCCGCCGCCGCCCTCGCGGCTTTTTTTGCCCCCGCTCCAGATGGTTTTTGCCCCCACCACCGCGGCTTTTTGCCCGCGCCGCCGGGGCTTTTTGCCGCCCCGGTATTTTGCCCCCGCCGCCGCGGCTTTTGCGGCTTTTTGACCCCGCCGCCGCGGCTTTTGGTCCCCGCCGCCACGGCTTTTGCCGACACGGCTTTTTACCCCCCGCTGCCGCGGATTTTTGCGCCCCGCCGCGGCGACTTTTTGCGCCCCGCCGCCGCGGTTTTTGCCAACGCGGCTTTTTACCCCCATCACCGCGGCTTTTTACTCCCCGCCGCCGCGGCTTTTTGCCCCCGCCGCCACGGCTTTTGCCGACGTGGCTTTTTGCGCCCCGCCGCTGCGGCTTTTTGCTGCTGTGGCTTTTTGCTCCCGCCGCCGCCGGTTTTTGCCGCCGGGGCTGTTTGCCCCCGCCATCGCGGCTTTTTGCCCCCATCGCCGCGGCTTCTTGCAGCTTTTTCCCCCGCCGCCGCGGGTTTTGCCGACGCGGCTTTTTAACCCCACTGCCACGACTTTTTGCGCCCACCGCCACGCCTTTTTGCCCCGGCCGCCAAGGCTTTTGCCGACGTGATTTTTTACCCCCACCGCCGCGGCTTTTTGCTCCCGCCGCCGCGGCTTTTTGCCACCGCGGCTTTTTGCCCCCGCCGCCGCGGGTTTTTTCCCTCGCCGCCGCGGCTTTTTGTGTTTTTTTGCCCCCGATGCTTTCGGCCCGCGCCGCCGCGGCTTTTTGCCCCCGCCCCCAACGCCGCGGCTTTTTGTCCCCGACGCCGCGGCTTTTTGCCGCCGCCGCCACCGGCACGGCTTTTTGGCCGCGGCGACTTTTTGCGCCCACCGCGGCGGCTTTTTGCTCCCCGCCGCCGCGGTTTTTGCTAACGCGGCTTTTTACCCCCATCGCCGCGGCTTTTGCCGACGCGGCTTTTTACTCCCCGCTGCCGCGGCTTTTGCCGACGCGGCTTTTTACTCCCCGCTGCGCGGCTTTTGGCCGCTGCGTCTTTTTGCCCCCGCGGCTTATTGCTCCCGCCACCGCGGGTTTTTGCCGCCGAGGCTTTTTGACTCCGCCGCCGCGGCTTTTTGCCCTCGCCGCCGCGGATTTTTACCTCCGCAGCCGTGGCTTTTTGCACCTGTCGCCGCTGTTTTTGCAGCTTTTTCCCCCACCGCCGCGGGTTTTGCGGACGCGGCTTTTTGCTCCGTGCCGCTCGTTTTTGTCCCCGCCGCCGCGGCTTTTTCCCCCAGTCGTGGGTTTTCGCCCCCACCGCAGCGATTTTCTGCCCCCGCCGCCACTACTTTTTGCGGCTTTTTGCCCACGCCGCCGCGGCTTTTTCCCCCACCGCCCGAGCTTTTTGCCGCCGCGGCTTTTTGCCGCGGGAGCTATCAGCCCCCACCGCCGTGGCTTTTTCCCCCGATGCCGCGGCGTTTTGCCCCCGCCTCCGCGGTTTTTTGGTCCCCGCCGCTGAGACTTTTTGCCGCCATAGCTTTTTACCCCCGCCGCCACGGCTTTTTGTGTTTTTTTTTGCCCCCACTCCCGCGGCTTTTTGCCACCGCCGCGGATTTTTACCCCCGCCGCGGAGGATTTTTCCCCCGGTGCTGCGGCTCTGAGGGCAGGAGCGGCAGACTCGGCTGCTAGCTCCACTGGCGTCCTGGCAAGGGCAGCGCCGAGGGGCGCTCCTGGTACAGCTCTCCTGGGTCGGGGGTTCTTTGCCTAGGCGCCGGCGCCCCGGGCTCCCTGCCTCGGCCTCTGTGGCCTGCATAGAGCGGCGCTGCGCGCAGAGGCGATGGGAGAGAAGAAGGAGGGTGGTGGCGGGGGTGATGCGGCATTAGCGGAAGGTGGCGCAGGGGCCGCGGGCAGCTCCAGAAGCTCATTGGCATCTTCATTGGCAGCCTTTGCTGGCTGGGCACCAAGTGCGCTGTGTCGAACGACCTCACCCAGCAGAAGATACCGACCCTGGAGGTAACGGGTTCGGGGACCCGGGCTGGGCTCCAGGAGGAGCTCAGACACCTCCCTCGGGGCCCCAGTTCACGCCTGGCCCAGTTGCATCCTTGAGCCTGCATTGCGCCCTTGGAGTCTTCCCGTCCCTCATGCATTCGCTGATGCGGCAGCAGGAGGACCCGGGACCAGCCCTCACCTTGAGCGCCATTTGTGGGGCGGGTGCCTGGTGGGAACTGGGATGGAGGGTCCAGGGTCCTGTCGGGGGGGGTGGTGGGTTGTGCGCGGACATCCCCTTCCACCCTGAATTTCCATCTGGTCCAGCCCTCTCATCTTGTAGGTGAGGAAACCGAAGGCCTGAGGAAGAACTGACTTGCCAGGAACCCCTGTTAAGGAGAATTATCAAAGTGTGGTTATTAAAGGAGAACTCAGATGGGAGTCAGACCTGGAGGCCCACACTCTTGGTTAAGACATTATACCACCTTGAGTTTGGCCTGTTTACTGAGGGTGAGCCACTCCATCCTTGTCTGATTGTGGGGTCTTGACCTCAAGGGGTTTCCTGCAGGAAGAAGCAAATGGGTTTGCTTTCCTATCTCTGTCCAGTATCTTAGGGACCCTGAGGACTGAAGAGATTCTTGTAGAGCCATCTGGTGTATGTCATGGGTGGGCCTTTTTTGAAGGTCAGTCTGCCCAGTGAGCTGGCTCAGCCCGAATGAACTGTCTTGAATCTTTGGAGTTGTCTGTGTACTTTTAAGGGTTTCTCATCCTTGCACCAAAAGATCCCCTGGAAATTAGGTGGAAAAACCTTAACTTTTGTGGGGCCTTTTGTTTGTCTTAAAAGTTCATGCACATGGCCAGGTGTGGTGGCTCCCACCTGTTATCCTGTCCTGGATCCCTTGAGTCAAGGAGTTTGAGACCAACCTGGACAATATAGAGAGACCCTGTCTCTACAAAAAATAAAATGTTAGCCAGGGGTGGTTGTGCACATCTGTAGTCCCAGCTACTACTGTGGCTGAGGTGGGAGGAGCACTTGATCCTGCACTGAGCTGTGAGCTCACCAGTGTACTCCAGCCTGGGCCACAGAGCAAGACCGTGACTCAAAAAAAAAAAAAAGACAGGAAAAATTCTTGAAGATTTTGCATTCTGTCCCACTATCTATTGGTTTTCATGTCAAGATAATGTCAGAAATTCTTTACAGTTGCTTCCAGAAGGAGTAGCCTTTTGATCTAGTGCACAGGTGTCCAGTATTTTGGCTTCTTAGGGCCACATTGGAAGAAGAATGCTCCTGGGCCACACATAAAATACACTAATGCTAACAACAGCTGATGAGCTTAAAAAAAAACAAAAGGTTTTTGCATAATTTTCATGATACCCACCACCACAGATAGGCGGAAAAGTCCTTGTAGTCAAAGGGTTGGACACGGCTGATCTAGTGTCTTGTCCGTTTTGACTTTCTCCCTGATTCCAGAATGCAGGTAGAGATGTAGAGACATGCTCTCAGGACAGCTGAGATAAAAAAAAATCGTTGTCATTTATTCCCAAGCACAGCTGTTTCTCATTGCATTGAAAAAGTCTCCGTTCAAACTGCTGTCACATATAAAATCTATTTATGTAAGTCTGTATTTTTCTGTTGTCTTGGCCTTTGTAGGCAGTAGTGTGTTTTAACGGAGCAAACTGTCCTTCCAAATAATGAAGCCAAAGTCAGCCTATTTGCTTGCCATTTTTCTTCCCCTTCCATTTTTGTAACCTCAGAATAATTGTAAGAATGAATTAAGATTTGTGTTTAAGGCCAGGCACAGTGTATCAGGCGTGTAATCTCAGCACTTTGGGAGGTGGAGACGGATGTATCGCTTGAGCTCAGGAGTTGAAGACCAGCCTGGGCAACATACTGAGACTCGTCTTGTATAATTTAATTAAAATTTAAAAAAAGAAGAGAGAAAGACCTGTGTTTAAAATTTAAAAAAAGGGGGAAAAGTGTAATGCAAAATGTGGACTATGCCAGCTATGATTGGGAAAACTAGTTTTTCATACCGCATTATCTGTAGACTTGTATTAGCAGCACACTGGTCATAAGCGTTTTGCTTTCCTCAAATATGATGAGGTGAGCTAATTCAAAGTGTGTTGGGGCTTTCTGCCGCGTGGCTCCTGGAGGTGTTGAGTCCCAATTTAGCCAATTAATTTGGATTTAGTTTTGATATGGATAAGGGAGACCAGCTTCATTCATGGTGTACACACAGTTTTGCCAATAAGGAGAAAAAAAAAGCCACCTGAATGTTCCTACTCAGAGCTCCTACCCCACCCCCACCAAGGCCCGGGCCATTAAAAAGACTCAATGCAGCCTTTCTGTATCTCATACTGTATTCTGCAAGGTACTCCTGTGAAAGAAAGTTGTGCTGCATCAGCCATCTCCCTCCTGAAGATCCCTGCGGATGAGGATTTGTGTTTTGAAGGTTCTGAGAATTCCTGCAACAACAATTCTCAAACTTATTTGTCCAGGGGATCTTTTCTTCCACTGAATGTAGTTGGGGAGACATGGCCTTAAGCCTTGAGCAGAGAAAGAGATAACTGTTGGCTCACTTACAACCAAGTGTTGTGTTTATGTTTTAGGTTTTTATGAAACTGAGGTGCTGTTTGAGGTTCTAAATGAAATTGGGTGGTTGAAGAGAGGCTGGTGTCCCTGTAGACTTAGCCAGCCATGAGTAGTTGCCTTTTGTTGAAGGAGGTGTTTTACAAAGGGAAATAGGGTGTCTCCTGGGCATCGCATTAGCACTTAAATACATGTATCACTGAAATGAAATGAAATGATGAAATGATGAAATGATGACATGAAATGGTGAAATGAAATGAAATAATGAAGTGAAATGATGAAATGAAATGATGAAATGATGAAATGAAATGAAAAGATGAAATGATGAATTGAGGAAATGATATGAAATGATGAAATGAAATGATGAAATGAAATGAAAAGGTGTAATGAAACGAAATGATTAAATGAAATGAGATTAAAAGATGAAATGATGAGATGAAATGAAATCATGAGATGAAATGATGAGATGAAGTGAAATGATGAAATGTAATGAAATGATGAAATGGAATGATGAAATGATGAAATGGTGAAATGAAATGAGGAAATGAAATGATGAAATGATGAAGTGAAATGAAATGAGAAGATCAAATGGTGAAATGAAGAAATGATATGAAATGATGAAATGATGAAATGAAGTTAAATGATTAAATGATGAAATAATGAAATGAAATGATGAAATGAATTGATGAAATGAAATGATCAAATGAAATGACGAGATGAAAAGATGAAATGAAATGATGAAATTAAATGATGAGATGAAAAGATGAAATGAGATGAGATGAAATCATGAGATGAAATGATGAGATGAAGTGAAATGATGAAATAATGAAATGACGAAATGCAACAATGAGAAGAAATGCTGAAATGAAATAATGAAACGAAACGATGAAATGATGAGATGGAATGATGAAAGGATGAAATGAAATGATGAAATGAGGAAATGAAATGATGAAATGAAATGATGAAGTGAAATGATGGAATGAAAAGATGAAATGATGAAATGATATGAAATGAGATGACATGACGTCAAATGATGAAATGATGAAATAAATGAAATGATGAAATGATGAAATGAAATGAAATCATGAGATGAAATGATGAAATGAGATGAAGTGAAATGACGCAATGAAATGTTGAGATGAAGTGATGAAATGAAATGATGAAATGAAATGAAACAATGAAATGAAGTGAAATGAGATGAGATGAAATGATGAATTGATGAAATGAAATGAGATGAAAAGATGAAATGAAATGATGAGATGAAAAGATGAAATGAAATGATGAGATGAAATAAAATCATGAGATGATGAAATGATGAGATGAAGTGAAAAGATGAAATGAAATGAAATGTTGAGATGAAATGATGAAATGAAAGAATGAGATGAAATGATAAAATGAGATGAAATGACGAGATGAAATGATGAAATGAAAGGATGAAATGAAATGAAATGAAATGAGATGAAATGAGGAAATGAAATGATGAAATGAAATAATGAAATGAAATGATGAAATAGATGAAAAATACTTATTCATTTTTTTTCTTGGCATCCTTCTAAGAGTATTTTAGTGTGGTTAATTTCTAAAAATAAATTACTATTCAATGGCTATACAGTTGGCCTTTGCTCCACAGGGGTTTGAACTGTGCACGTCCACTTAGAAAAACCAACAATTCTACATCCTTATCCACACCCTGTCCATGGAAAGGATGAGGATGAAGACCTGTTTGATCATCTACTTCCATTTAATAATTAGTAAATATATTTTCCTTATGATTTTCTTTTTTCTTTTCTCTGGCATGTTAAGAATACAGTATATAAGACATATAACATATTAAATATGGGTTAATTGACTGTGTTATTTGTAAGGCTTAGAGTAGTCTATTAGTAGTTAAGTTTTGGGGGAGTCAAAGTTATAGTGGATTTTCTACTGTGCAGGGGGGCCAGCACCCCAACCTCCGTGTTGCTTAAGGGTCAACTGTACATGTTATTTCCTTTCCTGTAAGAGAAAAATGATGAGAAGGTCTTTTCTCCAATAAGTGTATTCAAAATGTAGCAGATTTGAAATGTGTTGGCGCCACCATTTTGCGTCTCACTTTGAAAACTTATTATTTAAAATCGTACTAAAGCCTATCTTACTTTTCCAACATTAGAAAAAATGTTACAAAGAAAAGGGGTGAAACCATGCTAGTTTGCCCTGAAATTTGAACTTATCTTTTAAAAATATATTTTTACATTAATTACTTCCAAAATAGAGATCAGTTCCATACAAATGGCAGGTCACCGTAATCCACCCTATGGCTGCACTTAGATTCATGAGGAATTGTGCCAACTAGAAAGGGCAGAGAAGAGGAATAGGGTGCTCTGCGTCTTGAAATATAAACATGCACATAGCCACATGCTTTGATTCTGTTGTCACTTTGTACTTACAGATAGGAAGAGGGCATGTTTGTGTATTTTTATGCTAATTATTATCCAAATTGTTAATGATTTACGCTTTCAGAACCATATAAAGATTTTTTTCCTTTCAGATATAAACTATCTTGCATTGTTCTTCTAATCATATGAGGAATAAATATGCCTAAATATTCTTCAGACCATAATATTATGTCCATATAAATGCCAGTAGCAAGAGTAGAATCAACCACAACTGCCTTTGTAATTATTTAAAGCACGTGTGCCTATAAGTAACTGGCATTTTATATAATCAAGAATCTTTGATATAATAATCTCTCAACTATTTGAAACATGGCTCACATGTATTAATTTTTTATGCAAATATATATATAATATCAGTGTATATGAAACTAAATTTTCGAGTTTAGAACAGCTTCTTAGAATCCTGACTTAAATGTCTACAGTAATACTTGGCTTAAAAAAATTTAGCACACTGTCACTATGATGAAAAAAATTACTATACAATTATTTAAAAAATTTTTCCACCCTAACATTTAGAAGATTCTCACATTCGTGGTTAAAACCTAATGTGATTGTTCTTAGAATTCAGATAAAAAAATGTTCCAGAAAGTTTGAAGAGAAGCACTTTAGTCAATTTTTAGTTGTTAAAGCATGAAGAAATGGCATTTCATTGACATTTTAAAAATTATTCAGATTCCCTCTTTGAATTCAAGAGTTTCAAAGATATCTTATTTTAAAATACCAAAATAGGAATAGAATATGAAGGGCTGGTTATGAGTAATATGATACATATTTATGAGAGGATGAGATTACAATAACAATACCTCCTCTCATAGAATAGCCAGCAAGTCTCCACTAAATAACAGTGCCTTGATTTTGTAAATGTTTAATCATGGATATTGAGTTAATGTGAACCATTTTTATACACAGGAGTTTATTAAAGAATTATATAATATCTTTCAAGTATTTAGAATAGTGTTGAAATTAAGCCTGCATCCCCACGATTTTCAGCAGTGCTGATGCCTAATAAACAACCCCTTGCATGCCAAAATTGGCTTAAAGGTCATCTGTTACCCAAACTACACTTCAAGCATCAAGGTTCAAAAATGTGATTTTAAATATGCAAGAGTTTGAGGAATTCACTACTCACAAGTTCTTGAACAGTCTATCCAAGTGCATCAAGCACAATGTGAGTAAAGAAATTTTGACCAAAGGATTGATAGTAATGTTGAATACATTTAATAGTAGATCTAAGATTAAAAGGTGAAAGTGAGGATGAGAAGAGTGTATGAATGTTTTGTGTTCTGACAAAGAGAATGTAGCACCCAGGTCCTACCTGCTTGGATGCATTGCCAGTGCCCATGGTAGGCCATTTTTTCCAGGTTTTTAGGTTTTGTTTTGTTTTGTTTTGTTTTGTTTTTTTCTTTTCAGGAGAGTTAGTCCAAGACCAATAACTCCATAACTGGTAGATTTGGAAGACTTTAATACTGCTTAACATTTTGTACATAGCTTTATAACAGTTTTCTTTTTCTTTTTTTCTGAGAGATTCTTTTCAATATACACCATCATGGTTGAACTCAAAAATCATTGCTTATTTAAAATCTACAACTGCTGACGTTTTGTAACATTCGCATTCCAGGTAATTGGTTTTTTGTGCATTTTCTGTATTTTTCTCCATCAGTCTACCTAGATATTTGTTAGATTTAATATTTTAATATTTTTCTGAAAAAGTGAGCTTTTGCATTTTTAAATATATACCCAGTTGCTTTAATTCTGTTTTTTCGTGTACTATTTCCTCGTTTTTTTTTTTTTTGTTTGTTTGTTTTTTGACACGGAGTCTTGCTCTGTCGCCCAAGCTGGAGTGCAGTCGCGTGATCTCTACTCACTGCAATTTCCACCCCCCACGTTCAAGCAATTCTCCCACCTCAGCCTCCCGAGTAGCTGGGATTACAGAGGCATGCCACCATGCCAGGCTAATTTTGGTATATTTAGTAGATAGTGGGTTTCACCATGTTAGACCAGGCTGGTCTCGAACTCCTGACCTCAGGTGATCCACCTGCCTTGGCCTCCCAAAGTGCTGGCATTACAGGAGTGAACCATGGCGCCTGGCTATCTCCTTCATTCTTTATTTTACTGGTTTTCTCTCTCTCTCTCTCTCACTGTTTCTCTCCTTCTCACATTCACTTTGCAGTTGTCAAATAGCCCAGGTGATGTTACAGATTGACTCCTTATAAAAGGAGGCATTACACATTACACATGCATCTTAGTGGCCTTAAAAAAGTGTTTGGTTTATTTGTATGGACTATTCACCTTTAAAATATTTCAATATTCATTAAAATAGCTTCCAACCAATATTATTAGACTTATGTTTCTAGCTTTCGTTTTTGTATTGATATCTGCCTTCATTGCTGTTTGTTTAGGAAGTATATTCTGTGTCACGTTATTTCCGTGAAAATTGTTTGAATTTGTGGTATGGTCTAGAAAATGTTAATTTTTGTAAGTATTCTGTATGAACAAGAAAATAACATGAACTATAATATTCATGTTCCTTATATAATATTTGCCCTTTTTAAAATCCACTAGCTTCTTTTAAAACTTACTCTTTTAATTTTTTCTTTTATCTATTATTGAAAGATGTGTGTTTGAAATGTCTATAATATTTGGGGGCTTATCCATTTCTACTTTCTGATATTTTTGCTTTATATAATTTGACTCTCTCTCTAAATACGTGTATGTCTGTGGTTGTGAGAGAGTGTGTGGTTTGTGTGTATATATATATGTATGTATCAGGCTAACGCACATTTAAGTCATCACATCTTCTTAATAACTTAAAACTTTTATCACACTGGTTAGACTAACTTATTTTAATAAATATTTCTAACTTACATTCTGTTTTGTCTACATAGCAACTTTTTAAAAAATTATATTCATGTAGTATGTTTGTATGTATATCATATATACACAGTATCTGTATTGTTCAAACTTCAAAGTTCCTGTAAATTTATATATTAGTTGCCTCTCTTGTAACTATGATAGAGACAGATGTTTTAAATTTTGCCAATCTTTGTATTTTAACAAAAACATTGTCTACTTAGGTTTAAGTTAATCTTTGATCATTTATACTTAATTTTGTATTATTAATTTGTTGTGTGTATATATATATATATATATACTGTCTCATTTTCTCCTATCAGTTTCTGTATTCTTGTTTTAAAATTATGACTTTTATTTTTATTGTTTTCATAGATACAACAGAGAAATGCATAATGTCCAGTCAATTTATTAAAGTTCCAAAGTCGGTCGCGCGCAGTGGCTCACACCTGTAATCTCAACACTTCAGGAGGCCGAGGCGTGTGGATCACGAGGTCAGGAGTTGGAGACTAGCCTGACCAACATGGTGAAACCCCGTCTATACTAAAAATACAAAAATTAGCCAGGCATGGTGGCACGTGGCTGTAATCCCCGCTACTCAGGAGGCTGAGGCAGGAGAATTGCTTGAACCTGGGAGGCAGAGGTTGCAGTGAGCCGAGATGGCGCCACCGCACTCCAGCCTGGGAGAAAGAGTGAGTGAGACTCCTTCTCAAAAAAAAAAAAAAAAATTGCAAAGTCATACCTTTCTGCTCTTGTCAGACAATTAAGGGGTCTTTGAATACTTCAGCCCTAATAATTTGCTTCCTAACATACATATTGCAGTGCTTATCTAATTTTAAATATCTTTTTGTTTCAACACCTAATTTTTTATTTAGATCTATCTGTATGTTTACAATATATTTTTCTCTGTGTTCATTCTTTGATTTCAGAACTTCAATCTTTCTGAAGCATGTTTTCAGAGTTTCTTTTTAGTTTCTTTAGTGGAATTCTGCTGGTGGTGTTTTGTTTTTTGTCTCTAAATATGTTATTTAGCCATAGGTTGATGAATATTTTTCTTGGTTGAGAATTTCAGAGTGGCATTATTATTCTTAACAAATAATATTGTTTATTTTACCTTTCATGCTTTCAGATTTCAATATGATTAAAGGTAATTTGATTTTTCTAGTGCTAATTGAAATATTTTTCCCTTCCTGATTGTTTACTATTTCTCTAGGAGATATGTAGAGGTAGGTTTATCTCCACTGTAGCTTGCTTAGCATGCATAGAATTTTTGAATATGTGGATTAGTGTCTTACAAGAGTCTAGAGAACTTTCAGCCAAAATACCATCACATATTGTCCCTTCCCAGTTCCCTTCTTCTAAGAGAACACTCACTAAACACATGCTACACTTTCTCACTGTATCTTCCATGTCTCTTCATGATTCTGTCCACATTGTGCATTTTTTAAAATTTTCTGTAATGCATTCTGAAATATTTATGAACTCTCACCATGGCCATGTCTAATCTGATGAGTTCATTTTTGAGTTTTTAATTTAAAATACTATATACAAACTACTTTTCAAATTTGCTACATCAATTTTTTAGTCTCCTAAAAATATATTCATTTTTTAAAAAATTTCTTGAAATTAAATGAGCTTTATAATCTAACAGTGATATTTCTACTAATGAACCTTTGTGGATCGGTTTGTACTCTTTTTCTGCTTTCCTTTCAAATGGTAGAATATCATTTCCTTGCATACTTAGATGCCTTTGAATGACAAAGATTTATTTTTCTCTGAAAATTATTATTGTGCACTTTTGCATATTAGTAAGAAGAAAATTTGCCAAAGAGAATTTGAATTTGTTGTGAGTCTTCTAAAGGCACCACCATTCTGGGACCACATTATATTAATTCTTGGCCTAAAGGTGTTTGGACATATGTTTGGACTGCACATTTAAACAATTTTTAAATTAATTGCTGTAAATCATTAATGATTGAGTTTCTTTAAATCTGTCCAATCTCAAGTCATTTTTATTTGCCATTTCCAGGGAATGTGAAATGGGACTAATTTACCTCTGATTCTTCTTTATACTGAGGATATAAATTTTGGTCCTAGCTTTAGGGAAGAGCTTCTGTGTGATGCCCTATCTTGGGAAAAACTATGTATTTCTTTACTATCCTATGTGATGTATGACAGTAGGAATCTGCACTCATTCATTTTGCTACATGTCTGTAGGGCAAAATCAGTTTCCGTGTTTAGGTGTATTTTGTCTGCTCCCTGCATTCCCATGGTTTTGACCTTATATTTTACTTTTTTTGTGAACATACCAGTGCTTCAAATTTTTTGCAGTAATATTTTCAACTATATTATGAGAAAGAGAAAAATTTTGATAAAACACAAATTTCATGTTTTCCTTCTCTAATTGGCTTTTACTTAAAAATACAGGTAAAATTTATTTGTGCTTTTTTGCTATTTCTGTTTTGCTATTCTCTGTTTGTCTATGTCTTCTCCACATAGACACAATTAGGGAATTTTGTACACTCTTGTGCCAACTGCTTTGATAGTAACAAAATGTATTTCTCGAACTCCTAGGTATAAAACTCAAGTATCCACAATTTAAATTCTTTTTTGCTCACTTCTGTTACATTTCCAGTCTCAATAGAAATCGATGCCAATCCAGAAATACAAGCATTATTCTAATACTTCTCACACATTACTGATATAGATTAAATTTTCTAGATCTCCTTAAATACTATCATTTTTCACTACTTGTATCTTAACTGTTAAGTTCAACATTTTCTATAATATTAATATGTTGTGAAAATGTCCTTACTTTCTTATTTTTCCCAGGTTCAATGTTTTACAGTCTCTACCTCACCCTGTGAAGCATAAACATTGTACATGCTGTACAAATAATACATCGTTCATGTACTTAGAGATTGCACGATTTTTATTTGGTTGACAATAGCTAATGTTTTCTTCTTCATTTTCTATTTCCTGATTTTTCTTTATTTAGTATATACTACATTATCATAAAAATAAGAACGTTTTACAAACTAAAGCAAAAGCAACCCTAGGAATAAAATGCACAAATAAAATATATAAACATACATTTAGATGTACGACGTACCCTTGTAATTTATTTAGACAATTAATTCTAGTACAATTTTAATTAGTCTGTGTATTATCTGTCATCATCTTAGTATTTTTTATATAACAAGTTTTGTAAATCAAAAAGTCTCAATGTCATTATAAAGTATCTTGGCAGAGGTTGATCTCCAAGGAATAATTTCTCTCCCAAATTATGCCAATCAGAATTTCACTCTACCATAATTCTTTTAATCAGTTTCAGAGGAATAATAAATTTCAAAATTGTTCAAGGTACTTCTTTTAGTTCAAGTACCTTTTGACAGGTGTAAAACTGTAGACAGACTGATACAAACATATTCTAATTGACTCAAA
The DNA here is from genome assembly GCF_000001405.40 of Homo sapiens. Taxonomy (NCBI): domain Eukaryota; kingdom Metazoa; phylum Chordata; class Mammalia; order Primates; family Hominidae; genus Homo; species Homo sapiens. The sequence continues at coordinate 125,067 of NT_187380.1, read as the reverse complement.
ATTATATGGGACCTATTTTAAAATCTAGATTTTAAAATGTCGTGTCAACATACACATGGTTTCCTTGTGAAATAATTGCTTTTTATTCTCTGGATAGAATAATTTAATCTTTAAACATTCAATTCTCTGTTAGAAACAAAATATTACATAAGGATATCCTTATAAAAATAATTCCCAACTAGCTTTTCAGTTCAGAAATATATGTGAAAAAATCATCAATCATCTAATGGATTTCAAGGAGAAATGGGTTAGTAATTTATTCCATATGTCTCAATTTTTCCTAGACTCAAGGCTTCCTTTAAAATAATTGTAGGCATTTAAGAAACCATGTAAACTAAAAAGAAGAAATTGTGACACTGCCACTTAGGTTTTTTAAATCTTTGGACATGATTCAATATATTTTTTAAATTGTATCTTAATTAGACATTGTGAGTTCACCATCTTCCTGTCAGTATTGCATCCAAGCTGATTAACATAGATTAGAAGTTCAACTATCAACTCTGTTCTGAGAGTCTAAAAAAATAAATGAACGTATTTGTTTGGGTATTCTTAAAGCAGGAGTGAGGACACAGTGAAAGTGAGACAAGGAAAAGAGAACAAAATAAAACAGGAAAGAGAGACAAGCCAATACCACACGTGTTAAGAGGTAAGTTCCTGTGTTAGATATCTGGGCTTAATTTTATGGGAAGCTACGTGGAACATGCCTCAGAATTACATCACTGAATCCAGGGAGATTCTTCTTAGTTACCCTCACCTTTTCTTCCCACTTCATGCCCAATCACAAGCTCCCGTGCTGCTAGAGAAAGTCCTCAGCTAGAAACAGGTGCAAATTCTGGAGATGAGACCTTGTAGAGTGTTAAGAATGGTTTTCTTCCCAGCAGCTACAGGTAAGGAATAGGGGCTGGGCTATTAATACATCTGCTACAAACCAATAAAGCCCTTATGCTCCTTTTGGTGATCGACAATGTATTTAAAAATATTAGATGATCAAGAAGGGCTGCAGAAAGGAGGAAACAGAAACAAACAGCACACCTCTTGGTTTATTTTTATTCATTTCATCAGTTTCAAGGAAAATATGTTGGGAGTTCCTGGCATAGACAATGTCACAAAGACATGTTTTCAATAGTAGTGCTATCCCTAGGGCAGAGAAGACCCAGAGAAAGCCCAAGTGGCTGATGGAACAAAGTCAGACACCGTGCCACCTGTCCACACTCCTTGGCTCTGCCATCATGCTGAAGATCGCTTTAAAGGACTGGCTTCCCTCCCCCCAAAATTAAAAGAGCACAGACTGAGAAACTGAATGTAGGAGACAGCAGTGGATTATGCTGTTCTCAGGGGTCACCTCAGGTTTGGAAGCATTCTTTCAAATTAACCCATCTCAGGCCATCTGCAGAGAAGAAAGGTGGTACCTAACTTTTTTTCTTGTCAGCATTTGGTAGGGGTGTTTTATTGACCAAATATGTTCCCACAACCTGGTTTTTTGTGACTAACTAAATATAGTAGATTTTTAAATTTTATCATCAAAATCTATAGACAATTTTTGTTTAAAATAGACTCCATATCTATGTCCTGCTTTTCTTCTTATTATTAATTACATTGCTGTATCAAAGAACAAGACTTCAGAATCAAGAATATCTTGTCTCTTCGCATTGAATTTATATACAAGGTGCTCTTTCTTTAATGCTGTCTCAAAGGAAATCTTGTAGGTAAAGGTAAATATTAGGATGCATCCAATTACATTTACACACACAGTTACATTTACACACACATACATGCATACAGACTGATACACGTGTGTATATATATATATGAATTTACTAATTGATTTTAACTAATATTTATAAGAGCCAGTTGGATTGATATATATTGTTGAACCTGAAAAATATTTATTATATACATGTTTAAAATACACACAGAAATAAATAGTAATTGCACCAGGCATTTGAAACTGTACTAAAATATAAGCTGTGAACATTTTGTGATCATTACAAATTCTTACACTGAATAAATATTTTTATTTTTACAATATTAATATGTTTGATATCTGTGTACATTTTTTACAATGTGTTATTTTATTTTTGTCAGAGTCTTGTCATGCATAATAACATTTCAGTCAAAGATGGATTACAAATACAAAAGTGGTCCATGAGATTATAATACATATTTTTACATACTTTTCTATGTTTAAGTATGTTTAGATACATAACCTCTTACCATTGTGTTCTTATTGCCTGCAGTATTCAGTACAGTAATGTAGTACACAGGTTTGTAGCCTGGGAGAGAGAGGCTATACCATATAACCTAGACGTGGTAGGCTGTACAATCTAGGTGTTTGTAATATTCCCTGTGATGTTTGCAAAATGATGAAATTGCCTATGGATGCATCTGTTAGAACGTATCCCTATCATTCAGTGATGTGTGGCTGTACTAAAATGCTCAATGTAAGTTTCAATGTCCTCCATAAAACTGTTGTACTGTGAAATACAAATCTCTCACCCATGGCCTGAATATGTTTGCAAACTAAGCAGATCATGGGAAGGAGAATGTGCTGGCATCGCTGGGATGATTTTCTCACACTACATGAATAATATCTACAGACTTAGTGCATATGAGCCACTTGCATAGAGTTAAAGTAGGCATCTCTTTGCTGGGAAATTTATCAAATGGGAGTATGAAATGTTTTTAAAAGATACTTGTTTGTTTGTAGCTGGTAGGCATACAGTGGCTCATGGCAATGGTTAAGGTTGCTAAGATTTGGTGGAAGAAGGCAAAATGAAATGGCCACTTATATGGTATATGGTATATGGATCACTTGTTTCTGTTGAGTTACAGACTCAGCTGGCTGTTTCTCCCAATTTTAATTATTTGGAGAAAAAAAACGTGATGGTAATTTTGGAGTAACAAATACAATATTTGATGAAAGCAAATTTATTGAGGGTTAGACAAACTACAAGATACTTTAAGCTGCAAAGTCAACACGAGACTTCTGGCCCAAATTGTGCAGAGTTTGCGTCCAGCTGCAAAGTTCAAAGGAAGAGGCCATATAAGACGATTCTCACTTCTGACACCAACTGCCAGTTCAGGGGTTTCCCCTGAACACCCTCAGTTTCAAGAATTTACTAAAAAGACTCACAGAACTCATTGAATGCCATTGTACTTACGGTTTATAATAGAGAAAGGGTAGAAATTAGGACCAATTGGAGAGACATATCATATAAGGTGGAATCTAGGAGATTTTGAATGTTAAGTTTCCATTGTCTTCAGGACATACTACCTGTCATTGTTGTGCAGCAATAAACATGGAGTACTACCGACCTGGGGAGCTCATCTGATGCTAAAAAGACACTATTTAGAGAATGAAAAGACAAATGAAAGGATGGGATAAGATGACCTTCCACATTAAGGCGCTGGAAAGAATAAAAAACTAAACCTAAAGCAAGCAGAAGGAAGAAAATAAAAATTAGAGAAATTAATAATTTATAATAATATTTGTTAGTGTTGAATAATTGATATTAATTCTTGACTAGCTTTTTTAAAAAGAAATATTCACTTCCCAATTTACTCTTTGGGGCCAGTGTTACCTTGATACAAAAATTAGTCCAAATATCATAGAAAAATAAAACTACTATAAGTATAAACGCAAAATTCCTTAAAAAATACTAACAAATCAGAACTAGCAACATATAAAAGAATTATACACTATGACAAAGTGAAATTTATACAAGTATTCCCAGGTTGGTTTAACAGCCCAAAATCCATTAAGGTAATACATCTTATCCATAGAATAAGAAACGAGAATTGCATGATCATCTCGATAGATTCGGAAAACACATTTAACAAAATCCAAATGCTTTAATGATTAAAAATAAAAATAAAAACTCAATGAACCAGGAATAGAGAACTTTCTACACCAGATACATGGCACCTGTGAAAAGCCAACAGCAAGCATGCAACTTAATGGTAAAGGATGCTTTCCCGCTATGGTCAGAGATAAGAATAGGATATATAATTTGAACTCTTCTAGTCAATACTGTACTAAAGATTTTATGCAGGGCAAATCGGCAACTAAAAAAATAAGAATCACCCATATTGAACAGGAAGAAATAAAACTTTATTTGAAAATAACATTCTTGTATATAGAAAATGTTAAGGAATCCACTGAACGATAGAACTAGTAAATTATTTCAGCAATATTACAGCATACAAGATAAATGTACAAAAATCAATTGCACACATCTACAATGAAAACCCCAAAATGAAATTAAGAAAACACTTCAATTTAAAATAGCATCATAAAAAGAAATAATAATTAATTTGGAAAATGTGATACAGGATTTTACTCTGAAAATTAAAAATTATTGTTTAAAGAATAAGTAATTAGCAAACATCTTACAGCCATGAATTGGAAGATTTAATACTGTATTACTTTACAATTTGAACTACTGATTTGATGAAATCCCTGCAAGTATTCCAACAGACTTCTGTCTAGAAACTGACAAGCTGATTCTAAAATACACATGGAATTGTAAGGGACTCAAAATAGCCAAAATAATCTTGAAAAAAGAAAACATATTAGGATAATTCACACCCCCATGCTCCAAACCTTACTGCAAAGTATCAGTAATCAAGACAACAAAATACTGATGAAGGAAAAATATATAGATTGATGGAAGAGAATTGAGAGTCCATATATAAAACTATGTGTCTATGGTCAATGGATTCTTACAGTGGTGCCATGTGCAATTCAATGAGGAAGAGACAGTCTTTGAACAAACTGGTTCAACAACTTACACGTGGATCACCACTTGCAAAATAATAAATTGGAACCCTTACCCCAAAGCATACAAAAATATTAACTCAAATGAATTAAAGACACACATGCAAGAGCTAGAATAAAACATATGGGAAAATCTTCACGATTTTGGATCTAGCAAAGAAATAGCTGTAACATCAAAAACATGAGCAACAAAATAAAAATTAGATATTTAAAATTTGTTAAAAATTAAAGACATTGGTGTTTCAAAGGACAACCAAGCAAGTCAAAAGGCAGCTCAAAAATTGTGAGAAGATATTTGAAAAACACGTATCTATATGTCTGTATATATATGTATCTTGAATATAGAAAAATTGTTTTAACTCAGTAACAAATATCCCAACTCAAAACTGATAAATGATAGGAATAGATGTGTTTCCCAAGAAGATACACGAACGGCCAATAATCCCATAAAAAGATACTCAATAGCATCACTCATCAGGCAACTACAAATCAAAACCACAGTTAGATACTCTATGGCTAGAACTGGCCACTTTGTAAAATAATTTGATGGCTTCTAAATATATTAAACATTGAATTGTCATATGACCCAGAAATTTATTCCTAGGTATACACCCAGATTATTGGAAAGAGGTGTTCAAACACAAATTGTACACAAGTATTTTTAGCAGCAGTATTTAAAATAGCCAAAGGCTGAACACAACTCAAATGTCAATAAAAATATTATTGGATAAATAAAATGTTATATCCATGAAATTGAATGTTATACGGTTATAAAAAGAAATAAAGTACCAATACGTACATGAACCTTGATAGCATTATGCCAACTGAAAGAAGCCAGGCAGAAAAGGCCACCTATTGTATGATTCTATTTAGATGAAAACAGAATAGTAAAGTCTATAGAGAAAGAAAACAGATTTGTGGTTGCTTAGGATTGAGTAGGGGATGAGTGTATAGGATGTTAACAGCTAGAGAAGGTGGGGTTTCTTTTTGAAGTGATGAAAATGCTCTAAAATTCATTGTGATGATGGCTCCACTTATCTGTGCATATACTAAAAGTCACTGACTTGTAGACATTAATGTGTGCACTCTACACTATGTAAATTTTATCTCAATAAATCCTTTAAAAAATACACAGAAGAGTAAGGGGTTTTGGAAAGTTGCAGCTGGGAGGCAGTTTGAAATACTGAATAGGCCTCATCGAGAATGTGAAGTTTCAGTAAAGACTTGAGGAAGTTGAATGAGCTGATCAATGGATATATGGAGGGCTATCTTTCCAAGCCAAGAAATTAACTAGAGTCTTGGTCATAAGGCAGCAGCGTGTTGGCATGTCCAGAGGACAGTGAGGTGGCCAGGACCACTGGTAAGATCAAGGGTGAAGATATAAAAGAATTTTGGCGGTTAACATGAGGCAGATCATGATGGGGTTGCAGACCATTGTAAGAATTGTTTTTAGTGTACATGAAGTGGGGAAACAAATCATTATCCCATTATCAATATTTTAATAAATTGGATCCATGAACCAAATGCAATGAGATTAAATCAATTAATAATAATATGCAAATTTGTATTAAAATTACAAGAATTATTTGCACATTTGAGAACAGGAGAGTCATGATTGTTTATCAGCAATAATAAACATTATTAATTTTAATTGTGATCAGCTAATTGAGATTAATTGCAATACATCATGCTTTATAATGTGACTGTCAAAAGGAAAGTATGATTGTAATCTTATACTACATCTATCAATGCCTTTGATTCATAAGACTATAGAGTAAGCCCCTAGTTTTCAAAGCCAACTTATGAGGCAGTGACATCTTATGCAAATTTGCTGCTTTCTGCCACAGTGATCCTTGGTCAGCTGGCACAAATTGTTTTACAAACGCCCCTAGGTCTAAAAATAGTTTGGATCACAATGAACACAGAAACACCTTCATCCCTTCAGAAATACCTATCAATTACTTCCAATACAGAATGAAAAATTGACAAAGGAAATATGTGGATTGTAAAAATGCCAGTTAGCTTGCATCTACATCAAAGAAAAATGCCATTTTTATTATATTAGATCATTGTTTTATATGAGTTTTGGTATAGCACAATGTTGAACCAAGGGCAAAGAGAGATGAATTAATGATATCTTGATTAAGATATCAAGAATTTGAAAGAAAAGGCAGGTCATCTTTGAAGGTTAGTGACATAGCATTCATCTTCTGTTGTCACCTTTTCCATCATGCCCTGTATGCCTGATGGACAGGTTTCACTCAAGTTCAGAGAACAGCATGCAAAATTAGCTACCAATTAATCTTTATGAAGTGAGCTGCATTTCCTGCCAGACTGAGCTTATGTTTTAGCAGGAAGCATTTTTGGGAAATGTTTATGTTAGAGTTTGCCCTTCTTGACAAGGTGAGACATAAATGTCTACTTTATAGACATGAATTAAGATGGGAAGATATTTGGGGGAATCATTTACTCAAACGCTAAATAATAAAGGTACACAAAGGGCAAATTATACTAGATTTCTTTCCCACTTGTTTTGTATGTCTCATGCAATTCACCTTGATTCCCTTCAGTTTCTGTTTAATGTAGAAAGTGGCATTTTCCTTATTTTAAGCTTCTAGCACAATGAAAGAATTTCTCTTTTTCATGAACAGGATCATAAATGAAAGGGAGGAAGAGTGTCCTATATCATATTTATTGTTCAACAAAACACTGCTCCATGGCTTAAATTCAGTTTAAAAAAGAGAATTTATTGGACATCTAACACATACATAAAAGATAGTAAAGACAAATGAGAAGAGCGCAGGATATTGAAGTATACAGATTTCAATGCTGAGTTTTATATCTTAGGAAGTTACTCCACCTTACAGAGGCTCAATTTCCCCTGATTTAGGAAGGCGATGCTAATGGGTATTGCATAGGTGTAAGTATAAAAATGTTGTATTTAAGAGAATCCCACAAGCTTGGTATAAGGCAGAAAATAAATAGATGTGACATGAATAAGTAGTTTATTACATTTGTATTCTACCTGCGGACTAGAGGAAGCAAGAAACACAGCCACTATGCTTGATTAGCATTACAGAGATGGTACAATGATGGTTGCCAGAAGCTGGGGGGAGGAAGAAATGGGGAAGTATTTTTTAATGGGTATAGAGTTTCAGTTTTACAAGATGAAACGAATTATGGAGATGGATGGTAGGGACGGCTGCACAATGTTATGACTCTATTTAGTACCACTGAACTGTACACTTAAAATGGTTAACAGAGTACATTTTATGTTATGTGTATTTTACCACAATAAAAAAATAAAATACCTTAGGAACATTTTCATGAAAAAGCCCACATAAAATTCACTTTAATGCACGTGTTTATGCATAGCTTTGTATTTTTCTCTTTTCTCTTTATCTTCCAAATTCTAATCAGAGAAGGGAATCACCTCTGTATCTCTAGGATATTCAGTAAAGACCACTGGAGTTTCATGCCCTAGTGACAGTGCTCATATAGCTCCAAATTACAGATGGCTCTAGACTAACTCCACAAAGTTTAAAGAGAAGATTTAAAACAACAACAGACAAATACTCATCCTGAAGTTACTGAACTGCCTGCCACAACATTGTTCAAAGGTAGCCAATAAAATCTAGATAGTCAATAGCATAACATCAAAAAACCCCCCCCAAAAAAAACTCTGACATGCAAAGAAGCCGTAAGATATATATACTTAAGACATATATTAACAGGATAAAAATAAGTCATTTATAAATGACAGAAAAGAAGGAAATTTCAAGGTCCTTAAAGTAAACATATTTTATAAATACATATAGGTAAATACATATATATGTCAAGGCACTTAAATGAAAATTGAACATAGAAAAATAGAAGTTATAAAATGAAAAATGTGACATGTATAGATGAAAAATAAATATTAGAAATAAAAATTCCATGAGATAGAATAAGTAATGGATTTTACCCAAACATCAGAAAATTTATAGAAAAAAATAGAAGCTTTACAAACTAAAGGACAAAGGGTAAACTAAAATAAGAAAGCCAGAAACTCACTGATAAGTCAGACAATATGCAGCAGTGTAACATACATGTAATTAACATCTCAAAAAGGATGGGTGGGGGAATTATAGGTGAATAAAGAATGGTACACTCATTCCTGAGGGCACCGAGGAGGGAGGATAGCTTTAGATTTCTAAGGGAGGGTATTATCCATTCATGAAGGTCCAACCCCATGACCAAACACCTTCCAGTAAGCCCCACCTGCAACATTGGGGATCAAATTTTAACATGAGATTGGAAGGGGCAAGCATTCAAACCATAGCAAGAGTTAAATTTCCTTTTTAAAAAAATCACTGATATGATTCCATTTCGCCATAGATAAAAGCTAGTATTTCAGCCTACCATTGAGTGTGCTTATAGCTCACCAAAAGGGCACTCTGTCTCGGGAATACAGATTTGCCTAGAGGTATCCTATTGCAGTCAAAGAAAGAGCAATGAGGGATAGAAAAGGTTAGTGATGGAGACACCAGCGCTGCATTTTGCAACAAACAATGTAAAAGCTTTACGGATTGGTTCTGCTAACTTACTACAGTTTGCATTCCTCTCAGGTGGGAGAATTGTTGCGTTTTTTCTTAAGATAGAAAAGCAATTCAGATAATCTGAAATCTCCACAAGAAGGATAAGAAGCACAGCAGAAACTATTCTAGGTAGGAAGTCAATCCTTTCAACTGTCTGTGCTGCATAGAAACAATTGTCTGCACTGGAAGTCATGTGAGATACAGACAACAGCCAGAACTCTGATCCTCTCATTAGTGATTTCAGAAGAAATTACCAGTCAACTGAGTAATTCACTGAGTAAACATTTGGCACTGAAAGAGGTTAGACGGATAACCATTTGTATCACCATATTCATGAAGCTGGAATATTTTCCATTACTGGTATCACATCCGAATGGAAGATGTTAAAAGGTCTCTCATCTTGTAAGATGGATATGAAAGAACATTTTCTGGGAAATGAAATTATTAACACACCTGCGAGGTGGATGGAAGAGAAAAAAAAGCATAATCAGCTGGAGTTCTTCTCCTTGATAAGACAACTCACTAAAAACATAAAGAGAAAAATACAAGTTTAAAATAATTAACCAGAAGAAGACGACTCAAGAGTTTTTAAATTGCTGATAAGATTTTAATTTGCTCCAAGTTGAAAATAATTATATTGCTTGTGTTTTAAGGCCCATAATGAGCAATTATATCACAAATGGTAGTTTCAGCAGTAAAATATTATCCGTTAACTGCTGGAAATCATAAAAGCATAGCACAATGTGAAGATGGAATTTGCTAAAATAAACCATCTGCTGAAAACCACTATTCTGCAAATTTAAAAATAAAGTTTAAATGTTATTGGTCTTATTTAATAGGTCTGTCAAAAAAATGCGCTATTTGAAAAGTAGCTGCTACCTTAATTAATTCTTCATATTAGACGGCTGGTTACAGTAATGCACAGTAAGGTGCTACATAGATATGTTGCTAAATTTTCTGCATATACTATGTATTTGGCTTAAATTATTTGAAATTTTATAGTTAAAATAACAAATGTATATTTCAATGTTTTGACACAATTTGCAAATATACCTTTAAAAAGCGTCTTACACTCTAAATATTATTTGTCACCTATATATTTGTCTTTTCTCTATAGGAAAGTTTAAATTTTTCCCTTGAAGCTTTAATTATTTGAGTCTATAAAACAAACTGATAATGTACAAATTAACAGAAAAAAGGTTTACAGATATGTGCACAAGTATGCACTTGCAGTTTACATAATATATAAAAATATAACTATACAAATATTTGTATATTATAAATAGATATACAAATATATGCTATATATATAAAAACTCCAGAAAAGGCAAGGTAGTCAACACGCCTATGCTGTCTTGAGGTTACAGAAAACACAGAGCTGTAGGTTGGTAAATCAGGCTTTGCGGAATACAGGTGACGACAAGGAAGAAAGAGGAGCCTGACAGCAGAGGTGGTCTTGTTACATGGATGAAACATCACAGGGAGCAGCCCTCCTCTTGGGAAGTATAGATAGGAATTGGTTTTTAGAAATGTAAACGTGCCAGACTCAGTTAATCTTTCCTAAACCCACACAAGGGAGTATCTCAGGGAAAGCCTGTCTACATCAATACAGTTTTTCTCTACAAATGCAAATCTCCCCAACAAACACAGCTTTTCAGCTATTCTTGTAGAAGAAGCTATCTCTAGTCTTCCGAGTAGCCATCTTGAAATATGTCAAAAAGCTGCCCAGGTGCACGCCTGTAATCCCAGCACTTTGGGAGGCTGAAGTGGGTAGATCACCTGAAGTCAGGAGTTGGAGACCAGCCTGACCAACATGGTGAAACCCCGTCTCTACTAAATACAAAAAATTAGCCGAGTGTGGTGGTGCATGCCTGTAATCTCAGCTACTTGGGAGGCTGAGCTAGGAGAATTACTTGACCCTGGGAGGCTGAGGTTGCAGTGAGCCAAGATTGTGCCATTGCACTCTAGCCTGGGCAACAAAAGCAAAACTCCATCTCAAAAAAAATGTATTTTAGGGTAATATTTTGAGTATCTTTACCTCCGTATGTACAATAAATATTATTGTGATTTTTAATCTTTTCTGTGGAGAAAACACAGATGTGATTTCTAGTGTAGCTGAACATCGTTTATTTGACAATATTGCACTTGTGTGTGGGTGTGTGCTTGTGTAGCTACTCTTTAATTTTGTTCTTACATAATGATTAGATATTAACAATTAATTCAGTAAAATATATGTTTTGCAACATTTCTCCATGTTATTATGCTTTAAATTAGTTTAATCATGCCCTTATAATGTGTACATTTTAACCTTTGACTATAGGTCTCAATCTTACTTTGGTTCCTGTATTTGAATTTATGCTAATAAAGTCCTACAGCTAAAATAGATTATATAAACTTATCTACATTTTTACTAGTATTCTGGTGTCATTTTAAATTATGTAATGAAATCAAATTTTAATTTGGATTATTGTTATCTGAGTTAAGGATCTAAATTTTCAATTTCTTACAAATACTACATAATTATTTCTGAAACATATATTGACTAATCTCCCCTTTATATGATGTGCATTATAAGAGCTTGGGATTGTTTCATTTGCAAAGATGAATGCTTGAGAAGTAGATATTTGATCATAACATTTCAAAATCGACTGGATAACCTAGAATTGAAAAATAGCCTACAGGTTGAAAAACTCCTGTAGTGAAGAAAGAAAATAACTAATATACAGTGACAATATAAATATTATAAGTATTTATTTTATTATCGCCCTGAAATTTGATAATACAAACATGTAATATCTACATATCATCCATATATCAGGTCAGAAAAAATCAATACATTCTTCAAAAATTTAGCATAACAGAAAATGCACTCTCTCTCCTTGATGGAATTAAGTTACAAATAAAAGTAAAAATAAGTAGATAAGTAGATGGAAGTAGATGTTTAAAAACAAAGAAAAATATTTGTTTTGGATAACATAAAATCTCAATTGACAATTCCAATATTTCCAGAACTTTGGCTGTCAACTGGTGGAGAGTTTTCCCCAGGAGACATTTGTCAATGTCTAGGGTTATTGTGGGGATGTCAAGACTGGTGGAGGTGTGAAATTTAGAGGTCAAACGAAACACCTAGCATTGTTAGGGCAGCCTCCCACAACAAAGAATCCTCTGGTCCTAAAGGTAAGTAGCACCAAGGTTGAGAAACCATAATCTAGACAGTAAACACTATGTAGCTATTCCAAGTGCTCAGGAAAACACATCAGTGCCCTGGAGAGGAAAAGTGTAAACATTTTAATTGCTGTACATGGTGACACAAAATCATGTTGTTAATCTAAGTGGAAGGGGCTGAAGCACAAAACGTAATTCAAAGAGTTTACTTGATCCACAATGAGGACAGCTGCCTGGAAGAAACAGACCCAAGTATCCTTGGATATGAACTCCCTTTGGAGCTTTGCAACAAGCAGTTTCTTAAAGGCAAAAAAGGGTCCAGAAGTGGGATGATGCAAAGAGGTTTGTCACAAATTCTCATTGGCTTATGGAAATAACATTTATTAGTGATTGGCTATACACTGTTACACTATTATTGGGTGTGGATTATAGTGTCTGGTGTGGCTTTATTGGTTAATTTATAGCTACTGTGGTAACAGCGGCAGCCTAGATGAACACACAGCTCAAAGAGGAGCAGGACAGAACTGCTGTCTCATTTGAATATCTCTCTGGGCCTGATTATTTCAAAGGACTTGCATTTCTCATATGAAAGTTATTTTCTTTTCTCAAGGTCCATAAATGAGAATAAATAGACGTAAAATAGATCTTTTCGAGGATGAAGTAAATGGAATGAAAAACAAAACCCAAGCTGACCAGAAATCATAGAGGGAAGAAAAGGTTATAAATATACGGATTTTTCAAAGTGATTTTAAGCTATTAGGAATCAGTTAAATGTTGGGGGATTTTGTCTGAGAATGGGCTAAAGGAGAATGTCCCTTTTGCCTTCTGAAGTTTCCCTGAAAATCACTAATAGGAGGCAGATAAATAGTAGAAAAGGCATACAGGTTTCTGCAATGTGTGTACACTGGAGCCCTTAGAACGAAGACCCAGACACACGATGCGTGCAGAAGCTTATCTACCACATGAAGTTTACAGAAAGAATGGGGTCTTGGATCACAGGGAAAAAAAAAAAAAGGTTATGTGAGAAAACGACCCTGACTAGCAACAGTGGACTTATTACATAGGTGGAACCTCACTGGGAGCAGTCCTCAGAGAGAAATAGACAGAAAATGTTTCTTTCAGACCTTTGGAGACCTCAGACTCTCAGTTAACCTTTCCTAGATCCAGACAAGGGGGCAGAACTCAGAGAAAGCCTGGCTGCATCAAGGCAGATTCTCTAACAGTGCAAATCTCCCCAAGACAGCTTTGCAGCTAAGTTTGCATTTCCAGCCCTTCTCAATAGCCATTTTGAAATATATCAAGGAAATATATTTAGGGGTAAAATATATTAGTTTCCTTCATACAGCTATAAAACATACAGCAATAATTTTTGTCAATGTCTACTACAAATCCAATATAACAGTAAATATAAAACCCACCAGATATTGAAGAAAAAATATGTAGAGTACCTCAATTGCAAATGTTGATACTAAAATGCCAAATAAAATAAAAATAATTTTCAACAATATTTGAAACAGTAACACAAGAAATTGGCAAAAAAAAAATAAAACAAATATCCACCTTGGGGATGAAAGTGTGCTTCCAAATTTGGTAATCCAATAATATTAATAATCATATTGATTAGCCCAAATTAAAAATAAATAGGGGATTCTCAGTACATGCTAAAATATATTTGTTAAAAGGCAATATTCATGTCTTTAAAGATTTTAAATGCTATAAAGAGTCTGATATTCTATAGGCAAACATGTGTATGTCCATTAGAAGAAGAGAGGTCTGATTTTCATATGTTACTACATAGAGATAGAGAAGTGGATAGATTAATTTGCATATGCATAGAGAAAGCATAAAATAGAAATTTACTATCATATTAAAGGAATTTTAATTCAACAATAAAATAATTCAAAGGTAAAATTTTAAATATTTTTAACAGGTACATTATTAATATTAGATAATATTTATAATTGTGAAAATATTCAATGCTAAAATAAGATGCAATGTCTAAACATCAGTATTAAAACTAGTATAAATATTTGCTTGTTTATACAAGGAAAATTCAAGCTCGACCTAAAATTATATAGGAAATAAAATAAAAATTTTAAGGGAGCTCTTTAATAACATAAACATATATATATATACACACACACATATAACATGTATATATGTTATACGGGATATAGATTTAACATGTTATATCTATATTTGTATCTATAACTACAGCTGTATGTATCTACATTTCTATATATTTACTCAGTGACATAAATATAGACAGGAATAAATATAAAGACACATGATTCTTGGATAAAAAGGATTTAGTATCATAAAGACAAATTCTTTCCAAATTCACTTATGAATTCACAACAATATACAGTTTCATTAGTATAATTTAAAATTTTTAAATAAATTCCAAGATTCATTTAAAGGAATATACATGTATACAAGCAGTCAAGAAAGAAGCAAGAGTGCACTAAACTAACTTGCTATTAAAATACATTTTTAAACTTAGTAACTGAAACTGAGCAGTACTGATTTGCAATACTGGAATTTAGGTATATGGGATCTCAAAAGCACAGAGCTCAAAGGAGACCCCTGTATGCATGAGAGCTTAGGATGTGCTTTAGAAAATATTACCAAACCACGGGCAAAGTTACTTTAGTGTCTTAGTCTTACTAGGTTTGAAAAGCCAGAGAAAAGACTCAAGACCACCATATAAGAGCAAAACAAAAGGACAGGGAGAGAATGTGAAGATACTGAAACATTTTACGTAAAGTTGTATAAAACATCTTTTAAAGAAAATGTAAAGTTTAGGATATACATCAAAATCAGCAGAGCCACTAAATAAATAAATAGGCATTGTAAAACAGCAAGAGAAAATTTAAATGGATTTCTAAAAAATATTGACACCTATGATTTTTAAAATATGTTTAAGAAATCCCGTATTTCACAGGGCAGCCTTTCACAACACAGATATGTTAGGACATAAAGGTCCTTCTGTTTTTAATTTACTAGAGTTTATAGGGTTACAAATGTCTTCTACCCTTGTCTTTTGTCTGATGATGAAAAAATTTTCATAAGCATGTATTTCTGAATGCCTGATGGATTGACATATATAATATGCTGCTAGTATTAAAATATGTGACGGAAAACACATCCAATCTTCTCACTGTTTACATAAATTCTAGGTTTCTCCTATTTACCTCAAGCACGTATGGAGCGAATTCTTACCTTTTAATATTGCCATGGCATTCACATTGAACATAAGTTGAACTCTCTCTTATGGTAGCTGGGTTCAGATTCCCTTGACAATTTGCAGTTCTAACCCTCACAGTTCCTCAGTGTGGCTGGCCCAGGTATTGACCCTACACAGTTGCCTCCTCCTGGTGACTACCAGCTATGGAACCGTTGGATACAACCTACCTGACTCACTCCACAGACCTCACAGCACACATGGACAGCTCCCAAACGCCAGAGTGACCTGCTCAGTTGCAGCAGGAGCCAAGAAATATGCCTGCTGGCACTCACCCCACTGACTAGAGCCTCGAGGAAAACATATTTGGGTAATGTTCTGGGCCCAATAAAGGCTGGAGTCCCACAGACCCCTTTTCTCTCTCTTGCTCCCCACTCGTCTTCCCATTTTGTTCAGCCCTATGAGGTGTGCTACTGTATTAGTCCATTTTCACACCACCGGTAAAGACATGCCCAAGACTGGGTAATTTCCAGAAGAAAGAGGTTTAATAGACGCACAGTTCCACATGTCTGGGTAGGCCACACAATCATGGCAGAAGGTGAAAGGCACGTCTCACATGGCAGCAGACAAGACAAGAGAGCTTATGCAGGGAAACTCCTCTTTATAAAACCATCAGATCTTGTGAGACTTATTCACTCTCAGAAGAACAGCATGGGAAAGACCTGCCCCCATGATTCAATTTCCTCCAACCTGTTCCGTCCCACAACATGTGGGAGTTCAAGATGAGATTTGGCTGGGGACACAGCTAAACCCTCTTCTCAGCTACCCTCTTCTCTCTGGATCTGTGAGTAATAAAACCACTTCTGTGATTTCCCATGTTTGGTCCTGTGGCCTCCATGTGTCTGAGCTGACCTACACTGGAACCTAACTCTCCTCCTGGCCAGGGTCTCTGAGAGTGGCTCTTGTCAGAAATACACAGTACACAGGTCAGGCAACAGTCACCAGGCATCTCCTAGTCTCAACAGATGTTCTGTGAGAGGGAGGCCTGGTCGTGGGGTGCACACCTGGCCACTGCTGGGGTAAGGAAGTGTCCTGTGAAAGGCACATGTTAAGCATCCACAATGCCCTGACCAGAACCCCAGAAAGGCAGGGCTCCAATTGACAGTCACTCTCCAGAGACAAACCTCAAGCCCTAACTGGAGGAAAAGAAAACAATGTAAAAAGTTGAATTTATCTTACTATTTCAATGATCCAGTAAAGACATTTTATGCCTGTACACCACATATTTTCTTCGATTGTGGATTTATTTTAGATAGAATTTTATGTCTGGCTTTCACTTTAGCCTGGTCCCTACCTCAAGCATAAGGTAAAGATTTTCCATGGGTTCTTTTCTGGTACTACTACCTGCCAGTGTGGAGTCATGTCCTAGTCTATCTTGAGGGAATTCCCCTGTTCATTATTGTCAGAGTGAGACTGTTAAGTCTTGATTTCCCTGGACAACTTCACTGCATGACTTTTAATATGATTTTTTAATATACCCTTTACTGGGCAATAAATTATATAGTTATCTGAGTAAGAGATATGGTCAGGAAGAGGCATTGCCTCATTCAACTTTTCTCTTTGGTGAACTCGCATATGTTCTCCTCACCCGCCAGTCACCTCTAAACCGTATTGTTCCAAGACAACAAACAGAACTCGAGTGTGTATCTTTCACCACTGGATTTGTCTTTGCTCCATAAAGCTTCATGCTTAATAGGGTTTCTGTTAGCATTTTCTTTATTTATTTTCCCATAAAATATCACAGGCCTTCTTCATATGGAATTATGGGTGATTTCCTTCAATCTGCATCATATCAAGTTGAGGTTCATGTTGATGAAAAGTAAAACATACATTGAAAATATCAGTAGTGATGTTTTCCCCTCCTTTTTAGCACCTATGTTTGTGATACAAGCACATTTTAATACAACTGTAGTCTCATGCTTTGATCATTCCTAAGATGAAAATTACATTTTTAGATAAAATATCTGAGTTTTATGAGGCCTTTTGTATATGATGTGATAGATTATTGGAAGACCATACTTTTTTCTAGTTTTCCATGCAATTCTATCTTTGTTTCATCTTTACTCCTACAAGAGTAATTTTCCAGAATAGATATCTTGTCATTCTTCCTGTTGTTATCAATAAATAAGTGAAACGAAAAGCTAGATTACATAATTTATCTAGAACAAGAAAGTAGAATTGAATCAATATTCGTTAATGAGACTGAGCAGTCAATTACACAGATAGGCATTTTACATTTTGAAGATCATATGGACCCATTGTCAGATATATAATTATTTATTTCTACATGGACATCATCTGTGAATATTTATGTAGAAATCAATGAGAGCTGATTTTTATTTGTATTATATATATTTTTTGAGATAGGGTCTTTCTTTGTTGCCCAGGCTGGGGTGTAGTGGTGCAATCACTGCTTACTGCAGATTCAACCTCCCCAGCTCAAGCAATCCTTCCACCTTGGCCTCCCAAATAGCCAGGACAACAGGTGCACATCACCATGCCCACCTTTTTTTTTTAACTTTTGATAGAGACTGGGTCTTGCTATGTTGCCCAGATTGCTCTTGAACTCCTGGGCTCAAGGAATCCTCTCATTTCAGCCTCTTCAACTGCTGGTATTACAAGCATGAGCCACCATATGGGCTGGAAGCTGATTTTTAAAATACTGAGATCATATAGATGACAGCACCTGAAAAATAGACAACACCAAGCTTTATGTTAAAAGGTGTGAGGGTATCAATATTTTTGTGGCTATTGGGGAGGAAAATATTAGTAAAACCAGTGAGTTAAAGCTGTTGCTTTAAACTTTGGCTTTAATTCAACAAATGTTCTCTGTGGTGATAGTACGTATGTAACCATGCTATGCCCATTCACAGATGCAGTAGAGGGAAGAATTTCTCAAAGACAACTGTTCTAAGATTGAAATTAAACTGTACTGGGTTTGAAAAGAGAAAGTCCAGGAATTACCAAATATTTCAGATATCAGATAAAAGAGAATGCCAGGTATGTGATGATAATCAGCAACGGTTGTTCACACAATATATCAAATCAGTATTTGAATTAGCTTTTGAATTACGAGGACAAATGGATCAAGTCTTGACTCATTAGTAGGTAAATCTTATTAGGCTGAAATGTGTTTTCGCCTGTTTTTCCACAAGGAGATTGCAGATTTGCAAACCTCAGCTGCTCTCATTTTATGCTCTCACCAATCCAAAAGCTGAAGTTCATCAATCAGTGTGTCTAAGTGTTCACTAGTTATATACCATTTTGTAGTTTAGGCTATCTTTCCAACTTCCTAAATCATCACCTTCATTTGACCTTGTTTTTTTCAACTATCACTTCTTTACTGACCATATAAAGAATACAAGTAAGTTCTTATTTTCTTATTGTTCATTTTAGTCTAATTTCATCAAAATATCATAGTTCTTTAATTTCATTTTAATTTCAAAGATTAAAAGAAACCTACATAGAAATAAGTTTAAGATTGTATTTGCGTTATTTTGGCATCAATTTGCTATCCTCCCTCATACACATAGAGATCATTTCCATGTACGTGATTTCAAACATCCAAGTGCAGTATTAAAAGCAGTTGTCAATTATGGTTCTCATTTTCATGATACAATTACTATATAAAATTCCTCTTGCTGCTGTAACAAATTATCACGAAATACATATCTTACAATAAAGTGACTGTTAAGCCTACAGTTCTGGAGTTCAGAAGCCTTAAATGAGACTCACAGGGCTAACATCAAGTTTTGGGCAGGGCTGCAGTCTTTCTGAGGGCTCTGTGGAAGAGTCTATGTACTTTATTTTTTTCAGCATGCAGAGGCCACCTTTATTTCTTGGAACATGACCTCGTTCTTATATCTTTTTTTTTTTTTTGAGATAGAGTCTCCTTCTGTCGCCCAGGCTGGAGTGCAGTGGCACGATCTCAGCTCACTGCAACCTCTGTCTCCCGGGTTCAAGCGATTCTCCTGCCTCAGCTTCCTGAGTAGCTTGGACTACAGGCACGTGACACCATGCCCAGTTAATTTTTTGTACCTTTAGTAGGGATGGGGTTTCACCATGTTAGCCAGGATGTTCTCGAACTCCTGACCTCGTGATCCACCCACCCCGGCGGCCTCCCAAAGGGCTGGGATTAGGCGTGAGCCACCGCACTGGGTCCTCATTCTTGTATCTTAAAAGTCAGTGATGTTGAGTAATTTCTCATGCCACCACCTCCATGGTTGCCTTTCTTCTGCCTTCTTCTTTCACTTATAAGGAATCTTGTGATTTCATTGATCCCCACCATTTAATATAATCTCTCCATCATTTTATTGCAACCTTAATTTCACTTGAAATCTAGTTTTCCACTGCCATGTAACCTATTTGTATGTTAGATTCTGGTAATTAGGACATGAACATTTTTGGGAGGTCATCCTTTTGTCTACAGCAGACATAATCTATTTACATGCAGATTAAAATGTTCTTTATTTTTCTTCCTCCCTGTATTAATTTTTTTAAATAATATGAATTGTGGTAAAGAGAAAGAAAGAAAAGAAAAGAAAGAAAGTAAAAAGAAGGAAGGAAAGAAGGAAGGAAGGAAAGAAAGAAAGAAGAAAGAAAAGAGGGAGGAAATGAGAGAAGGAAGGAAGGGAGGGAGGGAGGAAGGGAGAAAGGCAGGAAGGGAGAAAAAAGAAAGAAAGAACACAAGAAAGAAAGAAAGAAAGAAAGAAAGAAAGAAAGAAAGAAAGAAAGGGAAAGAAAGAGACAGAGAGAGAAAGAGAGAAAGAAAGAAAGGAAGAAGAGAGGAAGGAAAGGAGGAAGAGAGAACGGTAAAAAGGAGGAAGGCAAAGAAAGAAAATAAAGAGGAAAAGGAAGGAAGGAAGGAAGGAAAAATGAGGAAAGGAAGGGAGGGAGGAAGGAAGAAAAGGAGGGAGGGAGGACGGGAGAAAAAAGAAAGAAAGCAAGGAAGTGAGAAAGAAAGAATAAGAGAAAAGAAGGAAGAAAAGAAGGGAGGGAGAAAGGAAGGGAGGGAGGAGGGAAGGAAGAATCAGAGGAAAGAAAGAAGGAAGCAAAGAAGGAAGGAAGGAGAAAAAAAGAAAAAGGAAAAGAAAAGAAAAGGAAGAGGAAAAGAAGAAAGGAAGGAAGAAGGCAAGGGAAGGAAAGAGAAAAAGGAAGATGGAAAGAAGGAAGGAAGACCGCAAACATTAGAAATTCTGGGTTTGTTAGAGAATATGCCATACTGTTTTTTTTTCACTTGAAAGGAAAGAGTATCTGCCATTGCAGATTGGATGTCTTGTTGGTGATATTGTTGTTCTTATCTTCCATATGGTTACTGAGTCTGTGCCTAGTCTGTCCCTTACTAAGACAAAAGTTTTGAAGTCTGCAAATATAATTTTGGATTTTTCTAGTTCACCTTTGATTTCTTTCATGTTTTTCCTCATGTATTTGGAGGTTCTGTTGTTAGCTGCATACCCTAATTAGTAGGATGTTTACATCTTCTTGAGAATTGATTATTATATTATCTATTATCTCTCATCTCTGATACTATTTCTTGTTCTGAACTCTGTTGTGTCTAATATCAATGTCGTCCTTCCACAGCTTTATTTTAGTGTTTCCATGATATGGCTTTCTCCATATCTTGATGATAACCTATTTGTATCTCTATATATTTGGAGCAAGATATAAAATTTAGAGTTGATTTTTTAAAGATTTTCCAAGATGTAATTCTTATTTATTTTTGTTCTATTTGACATTCTCTGAGTTTCCTATATCTGAAATTTGATTTTCTGTCACTTCTTTTAGAATATTTTTGGCAGTTATTTTGAAAAATATTTCTTTTGCTCCACTATTTTTTCCTATTTTCTTTTTGGGATTTCAATTATAACTAGGGTAGGTAATTTCATCTCAGTCTTATGCAGGTACTTTTTCTCAGGATCTCAGGAATGTAGACTTCTCACACTTCTGTTCTTTTCCTGGCTGTGTTGGTGAGCTCAGTATATTCCTCCTTCACCTTCAAGAGCAGTTTTGTTTTGTTTTTCCTGTTTTCATACTCCCAGCATCATGAGTATTCTAGGTGTGTCAGTTTTTGTTACCTTCCCCTACATATTAAGTGGAATATCTTGGTCTATTTGGATTCTTATAACAAAATAACATGAACTGGGTGACTAAAAAACAACAGATATTTCTTTTTTCACACTTCTTGAGGCTGTAAGATCTCAGGTCAAAATGCTCACAAATTCAGTGTTGATGAGAGCCCATTTCATGGTTCATAGATGGTGCCTTCTTTCTATGTCCTCACATAGTGGAAGGCACACAAGAACTCCACTGAGCTTCTTTTATAAAGGCACTAATCCCATTCAAAAGGGCTCGGCCCCAAAGACCTGGTCACCTCCCAAGTGTTCTGCTCTCCCTGATCTGTATCATATACAGACTCTCTTGGATTCCTTACCAATTGCTTGAGCGATCACAGTGGGTTTGTGCGGAAAAAGTTTTCAAGATGATGGATCTTTCCCAACTTCTGCAGCTGTCAGCCATTTCCCAATCCGACCAGCCCCACTTTGTCCTTAGGAATGTATTGATTATTCCAGCTTTACGTGTCATAGTGGTGTCTATTTGCATCTGTCCTATGTAAGTGCATCTGTCCCCTTTCTCCTTGCAGGTGCCTCCTTTCCCTGACATTTTGACTCAGTTCTTGGCAACCTGGTTGCTATAAAAATAAAGTCATGACTTTGAAGTCAGTTTGGTTATTACATTGTTGTAAGGTTAGGAGCCCTATTCCATCCCAGCTCTGCAAAACCCAGAATTTTGGGGGGGTTGAAATTTTAGGCTTTCTCTTTGAATTGTAGTTTTATCTTTTTTCAACTACAATTTGCATTTTCATAATGATTAATGAGACTAAGCTTTTTTTGTGTAGTTGACTGTACCTTTGGATTTTTTTCCCAAATCCCTTTTCACTTCTTATTTTCTTTATGGTTTCAGAAAATGTAGTTTACATAATTGCAGCTTGATTTTTTAATCAGTTAATGGTATGCTTAATGGAGGGAAAAAATATTAACTATATTTCCCTTTTTAATTACTGTGCTTTTTTCTTTTCTAAGGAAATATTTCATTATGTTAAATTTTAGTGTTATTCTACTTAGCTATCCCTTAAATATTACAGTATTTTGGATTTCACATATAAATTTGTAACACATCTTGAGTTTTTTGTATATACAGTAAGGCTATTTTCTCTTTTTTGTTTTCTAAGGCAAAAATCACATAATATAAAATTAATAACTTAACCATTTTAAAACATACAATGCAATTGCTTTCAGAATATTCACAATGTTCCAGGATAATTTCATCATGTCCCTTCTAAAAGCCCATTATGCATTAAGTTGTTACACCCTATTCTGCTTCCCTGAGCCCTAATGACCACTAATCTGATTTATATCCCAATTGATTTGCCGATTCCTGATGTTTCATGTGAATAAAATCAAGTAATGTTTGTCCTTCTGTGAATTTAACATAATGCTTTCAAATTTCACCCATATTATACCATGTATAAGTACTTCATTCTTTGTTATAGCTGGAAATTGGGTGTCCATTTATGAGTCAACAAGCATATGGATTGTTTCCACTTTTTGACTGTATAAATATTACTGCTGTAAATATTCATGCACATGTTTATTTTTTGAGCACCTATGTTTTGTAAGAGTAACAGCTGACTTAAGAGAAACAATGGAAGGCAAGAGGCAGTAGAATAATATAGTCAAAAGATGCAAACAAAAATAAACTGTCAGCCACCAATTCCTTATCCAGCAATTATTTTTCAAAAATGAAGATAACACAAAGACTTACCCAAATTAACAGAAATATTAACTGAAGTTGTTGCTGGCAGACCTACCATATATAAAAAAAAAAAAAAAAACTAAATAAATTCCTAAGGCAAAAGCCAGTTACAAAAGACAGTCATTTGAATGCACATTTTTAAAAAAGCACTGGTATAGGTAATATTAACATTATAAAAGACAGTATAAATGCATGTTTTCTCTTTATCATAAATTGTTTATAAAATAATATGTGTATAACGGCCAGGCACGATGGCTCATGCCTGTAATCTCAGCACTTTGGGAGGCCGAGGCAGGCGTATTACGAGGCCAGAAGATCGAGACCATCCTGGCTAACACAGTGAAACCCCGTCTCTACTAAAAATACAAAAAATGAGCCGGGCATGATGGCGGGCGCCTGTAGTCCCAGCTACTCGGGAGGCTGAAGCAGAAAAATGGCATGAAGCCGGGAGATGGAGCTTGCAGTGAGCGGAGATTGTGCCACTGCACTCCAGCCTGGGCGACAGAGGGAGACTCCGTCTCAATGATAATAATAATATGTGCATAATGTATTGCTGAGTATTTGACATGTAGAAATGTAACATGTCTATGACATATTTTCCAGTAACATCAAAAAGGAGATAGTTGGAAGAATAATGTATTGTGATAAGGTAATCCCACTAGATGGTAAAGTAATAATTACTAAAATGTATTGTTGGCTTTGTGACTTTAATAGATGTAATGTGTAAAGTGATAATACTTTAAAATGGAAGAAATAAAAGAGATTTCTAAAAGAATGATGTTTCTATGTATTAATGAAAGTTTACTAGTATAAATTGGAAGACGATTTGAATAACTAGTTTTCCATGTACTTATATGGTAAACTTACAACAACAACAAAAATTCTCAAAAATATATAGTAAAATAATTCATTAGTAATCTAAAGTTCCCTGTTTTAGAAAATATTCATTCATTGTAAAATAAAGCAATAAAGAAAAATATTTGGGAAATATAGAAAACAAACTGTAAAATGGCAGTCATAAATAGAATTATACCAATTATAATATTAAATGTGAGCAGATTAAAGTCCAATCAAGAGGCAGAGATTGTCGGACTGGATCAAAACAAGTGATCCCAATATACCCGGAGATGCAAGGATACTAATGGATTGAAAGTAAAAAGATGATAAAAAATATCATGCAAAGAGCAATCATAAGAACACTGAACTCATTATACTCATAACACACGATATAGACTATTAAAAATGTGAATAGGATTTTAAATATTTATATTGTAGTAATAAGGAGGTCAAGGATTTTGGAAGACATAGCTATTACAGTCATGTATGCACAGATATCAGCTAAATTGTTTCCTCTATATAGATGCTGAAATCCTAACCACTGAAAATGACCTCATTAGAAAATAGGTTCTTTACAGGTGATTAAGTTAAGATAAAATCAGACGAGCCTGAATTCAATATGACTGATGTCCTTATAAAAAAAAAAAATTGAGTAGAGGGAGACATACACACAGGGAGAGTACCATGTGATTATGAGGGCAGAGATTAGCCAAGGAAGGCCAAAGACTGCCACTAAACCACCAGAAGCAAGAAACAAGGCACAGAACAGACTTTCTCTCATAGCCCTTGTAGGGACCATCCCTGCTGACACCTCAATCTCAGACTTTTAGCTTCCAGGACTATAAGACTATAAATGTATGTTGTTCAAGGCACCCAGTTTGTGTTAGTTGGTTATGGGAGCCCTAGAAAACTAATACATGAACTAATAACAAAGCATAATAACATGAAGAAAAAATTGACAAAAGAGGAGCATCAGCAAAACAGCAGTGTGTTGTTCAAGGCACCCAGTTTGTGTTAGTTGGTTATGGGAGCCCTAGAAAACTAATACATGAACTAATAACAAAGCATAATAACATGAAGAAAAAATTGACAAAAGAGGAGCATCAGCAAAACAGCAGTGGAGACAGCTGCAATCTTTCATTTCCCCACAGAAACATCACACAACTAAGAGAAACTGTCCGAATAAACTTTGCCAAAACTCTGGAAAATGGTCAAAAGATTACAGCAACCAAGTGAAAGCAGACTCAAGAAAAAGACAACTTGAAAACTTTATGACATTTTTAACTTGCCTTTGCAGCAGCAAATTGGCAGTTTTGAAGTGTCAGAAGCCCACGTTCCCAGTGAGGAACCCTGGTCCATGATCCAAAGGAACAAGAGAAGATCTTACCCGCAAATTACTATGTGTCTGTTCTGACTGGTGTGGGGGATACCTAAAGGACTCATGAAAGGCTTTTGTTTTTTCTGTGTTGCTAGAATACAGAACAGATAAGGAATGGACATTATCAAGAAACTCTGCAAGGAGACCTAACAAACCACAGATGCTTAGGGCAAAAATTAGAGCTTACACATATAGTAGATCACCTTCAGCACAGGAAGAAAAGTTGGAGAAGAGTATTTGGAAAACTAAGACATTCAAAATCATTCACGTACACAAGAGAGTCTAGAAAGTCACATGTATGCATAGGTTAAGCCACATGCTGACAAATGTCATAAGAAGACCCTACACTTTTACCTTGGCGGATCCCTCTCCTCAGTGCAAGCTCTGTGCAAGAGTGAACTTGAACTTCACTCAGTGCAAGAGTGAACACACACTTTGTTTCGGCTTTAAAGAACCCAGCACGAAGCCAGTCTGCATGGCCTAGAGACATATTTTGCTGGATAATGATTACTTGTTTTTCTTTTCGTTTTTGTTGTATTTGCCTGTTTGCTTAGTTCCTGACATACAAGAAAATCACTGTCAAAACATTAGCTTAACATTTGTCAAGGAAACAAAAAGACTTCGGTGACCACACCTTATAAAGCAAACAGTTTTGTAAATCACTTTGGAAAATTTCAGTAAAAAAAAAATCCTTAACAATATAATAAGTAAAGAAAACTTAAAACCCCAAAACATTACTGTGTTTGTGGGGGGGGGGGTCTGATTTACAGAGTAACCACATAGTAATTATAATTATTATAATGCCCAGTTTTCAAAAAAAGTTCCAAGGCATACAAAGAATGGGAAAGTGTGGCTCATTCAAAGGAACAAAACAAATTGACAGAGAATATCTCTAAGGAAACCCAGACTTCAAACTTACTAGACAAAGACTTTAAAACAACTCTCTTAATTATACTCAAATGTCACAAGGAAAACATAAACAAAGAAATAAAGGATTCAGAAAAAATATTAAAATGTAGGAATATCAACAGAGATAGCAGAAATTCTGGAGTGGAAAACTACAACGATCAAAATTTAAAAATCACCAGAGGGATTTAAGAGTATATTTGCACACACAGAAGAAGTCATGAGCTTGAAGATAAGAAAAGGGAAAATATTGACTCTGAGAAACAGATAAAAAATGAGCAGAGACTAAGGAATCTGTGGGACATCATCAAATAGACCAACATTCATATTCTAGAAGGATAAATTATGTTGTTAAAAACTTTAGCATTCTTTCTTTTCACCTTTCTTCCTCCCTCTCCCTCCTCCTCTTTACTTTTCTTCCTCTTCCTTTCTCTTCTTCTTTCTCTCCTTCATTATCCCTTTCGCTCTGTTTCTCTTTCTCCCTTTATCTTTTTTCTTTTCTTTCAATTTTCTCCATTACTAAGATATGTTTAAATACCCTTACCATGTGAGTTGATAGAGTTATTTCTCAGTTTAATCCTCTTTTGAGATTTACAGTCACTCTAAGTAAAGAGATTACCCAAACATAAGCCTCACAAACAGGCTTGCATACCATTCTTAATTTGGTCCTGTAATTCTTCATTGCTGTATTAACTTTCTGATGCTTTTAAGGATGTTTTATAACAAATTGTTTAGTTTTTTCCACTGGAATGTTTATTCTGAATGATCTAATTCATATTGTAAATATAGAGGGAGTTTAATATAAAATTATTAAACTAAAATTTATGAAAGAACGTATTTGTGCATTTAACAAATATGTTAATCCTCAGACTGTTATTGGGCAGCTGAGCATACAGCAATAAAAATAACAATTTTTATGTGTATAATATTTATGGAATACGTTACTGGAACAAATAAATAATTTAGTTAATAACATGACAAAGAACAGAAATTGTATACACTATAGAGCATAGTAATGGAATAGTGAATGATTAAAGTTATTAATATTAGGTAGAAAATGAAGGGTATCTTTGAGAGCAGATCTCAAGGAAGCAAGCAATTTGCCTTATGAGGAAAGAGTTACCTGTGGATAAAGGAGAAACTGAAAAATTTAGAAGTCAAGACTTTTTGAGCAAAAACAAAAATATGACTATTAGTCACCAATTCAGTACAGTGAAAAAAGAGTTGAAGAGATATCTTGGAAGTAAACCATGTTGTGGAAGAGCATGTAGGGTTTTGATAATCATGGGATGATTCTGAATTAATTTTAAATGCGATAGGAATATATGAGATACTTTCACCAGAGAATAACATGATTGTGTTTGCATTACAATGGGGTGTATCTGGTGCACCGTGTAGAATAAATAGGTTATGTGAGCAAATAAATTGGGATGCTATTGTAATCCAGAGAAAAAAGGTAGTGACTTAGGTGAGAATGCTGTCAGGATGAGTGGTATTAGTGGTGAGAAGTTGTTAGGCCATGGATGTATTTCAGAGGACTGGCCAAGAGAACTGCAGCTAAATTGGAGTGTAGGGAGTGAAATGGAGAACTCAAAGATGACTCTCAGCACTGGAAGGTGACAGCTGTCACTGAAGCATGCTGATGCCTCTTATTAAGAGAGTTATTTGGGAATGGCAAGATCAAAACTTCTCACTTTCAAATTTATGAAAAATATTGTTTTCAGAACGAATGACTTTGGGATCAGAAAGCCATCATTCTAATTGATGGTTCCAAGACTACACGGGCTCACACTCCCAAGACCAAAAGTAAATCATCACAAAGGTGCTTCCTGATAATTCTAGAGAATGGAGAATTACTGTAACATCTTTCTGATTTTAGGAGAGGTAGCAGTTCCCTGTTTAGCCTAAACGCTATTTTTTTTAAAGCTCAGCCAAGAGACTCCATTATAATTTTCAAATGTGTGTAACTTCAATTCTCATATGAAATACCACTATGCTTAAATTAGTCAAAACATTTTCCCCATCTACAACTCTATCTTGTCATTGCAATCATTTTCACAAAAGTGACTGCAGCTCACAGACCCTAAAAGGAGAAAATCCAGGGTAGGTTATCTGATCTAGTTAGTTTGGAAGACAGGATCTAGAGATTATTTAATATGAAATAGTTCACCTGAAATGAAGTGTTTACTGAAAACAGCTTGGATCAGCCCAGTTTTCTACCACTGAACCATGCATTTGGTTTAAAAAACACAACAACTCTGGGGAATATCAGCCGCTTCCAACTGTGTTGAAGGTGTTAAAGAAAAGAGCATAAAATTAAAAATGATCATCTGAGGCCTTTATAGTCTCTGCTCAAGAGACTAGAATCTTCCATTCTTAACGAAACACCCAAATATCTTAATAATTGGGCAAAATCTAAATATCAGAGAGATAATTTTATCTTGAAGATTGTTAAATTATAATGGTGATTCACTACCTTGCCACGTCTCTGACTCAAAAATTAGGTCTTTGTTTAGGAATCAATGGTACTCTGCAACTTGGAAATAGGAAGATTTTAGAAGACTCAAACATTGACTTTCTTGTGTGCAAAAAAAAAGACGTATTGAGATAAGACAAGTCTTTCCTTGCAAGGATACCTCTAATGCTCATACACCACCTCCCCTAACGTTAATATAGCTTCCAGGTCAGTAACCAGTGTCAGAGAGCAGCCCATGCAACTACAAATTCAATAGATGTCGAACACAGGGTCAAGCCTAGAATAAGAAGTCTCAGCTAATTAACTATGCTTTTTTCCCCAAATTCACATTAAGAAAAACTTGGATATGTCAGAGAATGCATTCTAAGTTCACTCAACCTAGGAGGGAGAAACATAATTTTAAATTAAGAGCTGAAGCATTCTTGTCCTAACAGAAAGCAAGGAAAACGAAATATCACACCACAGGAGGGATTTCACAAATTAGTGTCAACATCAAAACCTTAAAATAGGCAAGGAGAATACAGATTCACAATGAACTCTTGTACTTGTTTTGTTCAGAGAAGAGATGGTTCTGAGAGAATGACAGTGAACTAACCCCAGCTGGTTTAGTTGATGCTTTCAAATGCTGCTTCTGATCAACTCCTTTAGCTACAATAAATTGATGAGGATTTTGGCATGTGGTATTAGAGATGGTTCTTTTTTCCTCTTATTTGCATTGTTCAATGTAGTAAATACTAGCTGTATATGGCTACTTCAATTCAAATTAATTACAATGAAATATACTTCAATATTGAATTTTTTAGTCACTGTTGGTTCATTATTGAATATCTTCAGCTAAGATTTCCCATCTAAATACACTAAGAGGTGGTTTAGTTAACTGGTCGTCCACAAATATTGACGCTGATGTTAACTCCCGATATATTCTCTGCAAATAGAATATTCATGAGCCTCCTCCTGAAATCAGCAGCCTAGAGATAGTTTTATAAATTGGATACCAGTTGGAAATCTATATACTCTTTAAGTTTTTGAAATATTAGCTTCCCAGGGAAGAAAATCAAATTCATGAGATATGTTAGGACAATTTAACTCAAGATGCTCAAAACTGAAATGATGTATTCTACAATATGTTGTAAAACCACCCTCTAACAACTTAAAGCAAAACAGGGATTGACCCTAAAGACCTGCCTTATCCTCATCCCCCAGCCAGTTTTCAAATCTTTCATTTTATTTCCAAAGGTCCTTATCTCCCTAGTCTCTTGTTTCTAGACTCGGCACATATTTAAGTTTGTTACCTCTATCTACTGACTTTTCTCTTTTCAAACAGTATCTATGCCTGCCAAATGTGAACATATAAAAAAAAATCAGAATGTGCCATTCTGATTTAAACTGCTTATTAGTTAAAACCCTCAAGATAACATCTGGGTTCTTAGCTGCAATGAGTCAAGCCTACTTACATCTTTTTTTGTCTTTGGCTGCACATTTCCTATCTCATCACACTCCAGCAATGCCAAGCTGTGCCGGCCTTCTACACCAGATCCACTATTTTGCCCCGCGTCGTCGCGGATTTTTGCCCCCTCTCCACCGCGGCTTTTTGCCCCCCGCCGCCGAGCCTTTCTGCCCGCCGCGGCTTGTTCCCCCCGCCGCTGCGGCTTTTTGCCAGGCGCGACTTTTTGCACCCCCGCCGCCGCGGTCTTTTCCGCGCCGAGGCTTTTTGCTTCCGCGGATTTTTGCCCGCCACGGCTTTTTCCTCCCCGCGCGGTGGCTTTTTGCCGCCGCGGCTTCTTGCCCGCCGCGGCTTTTCGCCCCCCGCTGCCGCGGCTTTTTGCCCACCACGGCTTTTTGCCCCTCCCTGCCACGGCTTTTTGCACCCCCGCTGCCGCGGCTTTTTGCACCCCCGCTGCCGCGGCTTTTTGCACCCTCGCTGCCGCGGCTTTTTGCACCCCCGCTGCCGCGGCTTTTTGCACCCCCGCTGCCGCGGCTTTTTGCCCCCCGACGTCGCGGCTTTTTGCCGCCCGCCGCCGCGGCTTTTCCCTCCCTCGCCGCCGCGGCTTTTTGGCGCCGCGGCTTTTTGCCCGCCCCGGCTTTTTGCCCCCCCCCGCCGACGCCGCTTTTTGCCCCATGGCCATCCTCAGAAGCATTGAGTGGAACAGAGTGAAGGGAAAACTGTTTTCTTCTAAAGCTCAAAAATCTTGAACTTTCAAATAGGGATAAGTGTTATTTTTGCTCCAAGCACACATTTGAGGAATCTTCCATTTAGCGGATCTGATGATAAACCCACATTTTTTGTTTGTTTTAATCTGAAAATGTATTTCTCTGGTTCTTGGAAATTTTTTTTGCATATAAGATTATATTTTATCATCTTATTTCAAGTTTTATTTACCATTTGATGATTACTCTTAAAATGTCCTTGATTAAAGAATCATCTATTGCTCCAACTGCTCTTTACTAAAGGTAATTTGTCTTTTCAACCTCATCAGGCTCCTTTTAAGCTCTCAAACTGACCTTATTTTTTTTTTACAGGTTCAATGCATTAAGTCAATTTATTATTTATGATGAATTTATTTATGTATTTATTTTCACTATCACAAGTAGAAAAAGCCTGTAAGTTGCTATGCCAAAAAGCTGCCTCTAGATGGCAAACAAACCCCACAATACACAAAAGAGAGCCAAATTCTTAGAAACCCTGGGAAAGGAAGAGGGCTACTGTCCCATTAACAACTTGGAGCCCTTAAGGCAAGAATGAGGTGGAACATCTGGGAGGAGACACCAGGGTGCGGAGTAGTGGGGAACCTGCTCTGTGCGCTGAGACTGAAAGCCCAGCCTTGCCTCTCAGCGCTGCCTTGACTGTGTCCCCACGTGCTGTGAAGTGAATGGTGTCTTCTAAATTCATGCTGAGCACTAATTGCTGAAAAGTGTAAGACATGCAATCGGGGGATTATGTGCATCTTCCCGACACCAACATGATGCTCAGGAAGGAGACTTCTTGTTTTCTCTTAGGATTCTTTACTAACCAAGATTTTGCCTCTACTGCATATTTCCCTTAGCTGATTGTCCCTCCCTTTTGACAGAAGATGGCCCAGGGCATTCACTACTAAGTCTCAACCTCTTACCCAAAGCCCTCAGTCTAGTGTTGCTCTTTCCTTCATGCTATTTTTGTTTGTTTCTTTTCTTGTAATCATCTTGGCAATAAAATAATCACTTTTTTCTTTCTACCTATTAAAGATGTTACCTTAGTTAATTACAGTGGTTTCCTTCAGAATGATAAATGGTGTTTCAAAATGATGTAAAGAGATCTAAATCCGTGTGCTCCAGAAGTTGAATGAAGATCTGTCTAGCACGGGTGCCAGTGACTCTCCCAGAGTGCTCCATGCAGCTGGCCCCACAGAGTCCCTCTGTACTGTCATATCACCCACTGCCTTCTGTGAATGAGATATTCTGATTAGAATCCTGGTGGATGCTATTTGAGCCAGTGCCCCCACAACTCCTATGAAAGCCGAGGACCACAGGCCCCTGAAGACAATCACAGGTCTCTAGACTCACAGCTCATGACCATCCTCTGCAGACACAGCTTCTCCCTGGATGGCTGAGGGTTGTCATTGGCTGTGTCCTTCCTTGTGCATGACAACAGGAGACATAGAAGGTCTGTAAGCAGCCCTGCAAGCCAGGTTCTGAGCAAGACCTCCTGTGTGGGGCCCTCTTACCTGGACATAGGTGAGTAAACCAAAAATGAAACTCTAAGCTCCCTAACCAACTGAATGAACTCCTCCTCTCAACCAAGGACACACCAAAATCAACCTGAAATACAATGCAGTCCATGATCGGAACGGATGATTGGATATGCCTGAACTTACCCTCTTCCCTTTAAAATTCAGGCACAACTGACCAGCTTTTAATATGAAGACAGAGACCTTGAGACTGACAAAGAAAACTCTTTATAGCAATAAGATACCAATGTGACAGATACCACGTCCTAAGAGAAATCAAAGTATTTTCCCCAAGATATTGTTATTTAATGTATTTAAAAATGCCTCTGCAAAGCTGGTTCTTGTGGGAAAAATCTACATTCTGTAGAGATTCCTTTTTAAATCTCTTTCCTGACCCAGAGAGATTTAACTAAGAGTTTGGCACCTTTTAAGTCTACTAAGAAACAATTACAATCTATTCTCTCTGAAGCCTGCTACCTGGAGGCTTCATCTGCATGATGCAACCTTGGCTCCAAAACCCTTTTTCTAAACCCAGAAACTCCCTTGTGTTGATTACAGGTCATTAGATAAACGCTTTCAACCACCTATGAAATCTCTGAATCCACCTATGACCTGGAAGTCCCCAACATCCCCCCTCCTTCGGGCTGTCCTGCCTTTCCATATCAAAGCAATGTACAGCTTACACGTATTGATTGATATCTTGTGTCTCCCTAAAACGTGTGAAACCAACCTGTAGCCCGACGACCTTTGACACACGTTCTCAAGACCTCCTGAGGCTGTTTCACTGATATTTCTTTAACTTTGACCAAATAAATTTCTAAACTGATTGAGACTTTTCTCAGATACTTATTTGTTTATAGGTATCACTGGATACACTTAAGGAATTGAAGAGATTTATGACATTGAGAAAAGGAGGAAGCCAGGGTGTATGGAGAGAGAGAGAGAGAGAGATTGTGATGTATGTACTGGACTAACACTGAGACCTGGTTATGTAATGGTGTAGTACTGAGTATCATCCCCAAATAGTGAGGTTTCATTCCAAGAAGATTATGCATGTATCTCATTTGGGAAAACAGCTTTTGCAGGTGTAAATTAAGGAGCTTGAAACAGGGAGATATTCTTAGATTAATCAACTGGGACTTAAATGCAAACTCAAGTGTCCTAAAAAAACCAAGAGGTAGAGAGACATTTAGCATAGACTGAAGTGGAGAAGGCAATGTGAACACAGAGACAGAGATTGCAGTGATGTGTCCACATTCCGGGAGAGAGAAGCCACCAGAAGCTGGAAGAGCTAAATCAGACTGCTCCCTAGAGCTTCAGAAGGAGCCAGAACTGATGACTCCAAGATCTTAGCCCAGTGAAACTGATCTGGACTTCTGAACTATGAGAGATTCCATTCCTGTTGTTTGAAGCTACCACATTTTTGAGAACTTGTTACAGTAGCCCAAGGACACTAACACAAATGGGGCTCCGGGAAAATCCAGACTAAAGGTGTTGTGTTGGTTTGCAATCTCCTTGCTTAATTTTCTGATACTAGACATAAATAGATTGGTGAAAAATTTTGTGATTGAAGAAGTGCACATGAAACCTACAGTGTACAGAGAAGCATCTGTTAGTTATAAGATAAATATTGATAATTTTAGTTGAAAATGAAATATGACTGTTAATATCTCACATAACATTCTGAGTTACTCAAGAATGCATAAAAGGGGCACTAGATACTCTTCTCATGTATGTGTGTGTGTCTGTCTATACATGTATGTACACTTCATGGTGCATCAGCTGGCGGAATCCTCAGGACACCCCTTCACATCCTCAGTGCCCCATTTCACACATGAGGAAACTGTTCATGACAGCACATGGCTGATTTGCGTAAAAGTCACTTGGTCAGCAGTTGTTGAAGCTGAACTTGGAATCTAGGTCTGTCTGACCTTAACTATGTTCCTTCCACAGAGCCACGTTCATTCCATAGAGGAACCCACCACCTATAAAACCAGGAAAGAGACAAAGCCAGAAGTGCAGGGTGGATTTCTTAACACAAGCTCACTGCGACCTCTAGTCCTCATCACGCTGACACTAAGCTTAAACCCAGACCCTTCTACAGTTTTGTCTACAAAGCACAATTTGCCCAAAGCCTTTACAAACACCAACAGCCTTTCTTTCAGATATGGCAGCAGGGTCACATCTTACACGGCCCTGACCACATTTTGTCTCCTCTGCCATCCCCATCTCTCTGACTCAGTCCTCGCTTGCAGCCATAAAAAAGGATGAGTTCATGTCCTTTGTAGGGACATGGATGAAGCTGGAAACCATCATTCTCAGCAAACTATCGCAAGGACAAAAAAACCAATCACTGCATGTTCTCACTCACAGGTGGGAATTGAACAATGAGAACATATGGACACAGGAAGGGGAACATCACACACCAGGGCCTGTTGTGGGGTGGGGGGAGGGGGGAGGGATAGCATTAGGAGGTATACCTAATGTAAATGACGAGTTAATGGGTGCAGCACACCAACATGGCACATGTATACGTATGTAACAAACCTGCACGTTGTGCACATGTACCCTAGAACTTAAAGAACAATAATAATAATAATAATAAAAGAATGAGTCTTGTACATCTAATTTGCCCCACAAATGTTAAAACAGCAAACCCGCATCCCCTTCCTCTTCTCATGTGCTGTGAGGGATGACCTCCAGGCTCTCAGATACCAAGATTATACAAGACCTAACCTAGAGAATTACTCAAGACACTTTCTACGTAAGAAGAATTGTGGTGTTAGCTCTCCTCATAGAAAAATGTTTTCTGTCTCTTCTTGAAATTGACAGCAAACACAAAAACACAGAACTATTTGGGAGAACAGAGGACAGTGATACACTAGGGAAGTAAAACACACCCCTTCCCCTTGCATTGGTTTCCTGTTGCTGCTGTAACAAATTACCACAACCTTACAGCTACACATAATACAACTGTATTACCTTACATTTCTGGAGGTCAGAAGTCTCAATGAAGTAAAATCAAGGAGTAATAGGGCTCTATTCAGTCTAGGCTTCAAGAGAGAGAATCCAATATCGAGCATTCCATCTTTCTGATGTTCCCACATTCCTAGCAGCATGGCCCCTACCTCCATCACTCCAGTTTCCCTGTCCGTTGTCCCAGGTCCTCTCTGGCTGTTACCTTCCTCCCTCCCTATTGTAAGGACCCTTGTGATTATGATGGTCTCACCCAGATAATTCAGGATACTCTCCTGACCCCCAAATTCTCAACCATGTCTGCCAAGTTATTTTTGACATATTCATAAGTAATGATCATAGATTCCAGATATTAGGACAATGATGTCTTTAGTGGGTGTATTATTTATTCCACAAACAACTCTCATCATCCACACAATGGTCTTCCCCTAAGGTAGAATAAAAATATCACAAGGCAGATTTATGAGGCGATCGACCTAGAAAAAACCTGAGACTCTAGGACTGTCTGATGTGTGGATGTCAAATCCTGGGAGATTCTGAGTCTCTGCTCTATGTGGACTCTATGTTGTGTAGCCATTTGTGGAAGGCTTCTGTGATTTTGTGACCTAGAGAAAATGAATCTCTGCTAAAATCAAATCTAAGAAAGATTGGCAAAGGGAATTTAAAGATTTCCTAAATTTTTGGAATTTCCCTAGGCATTAAAACAGGAGAAGTGGCAATAATTCAAACCAATGATGCCCTCCAAGAATGAGAATTTTTCCAATGCATTAGGTTGGGTCCCCTCAGTGAGAAGGATGCCAAAGATTCGCATGCAGGCAGTATATTTACAAAGTGCGGGAAACAAGCAAGTGAGCAAGGGAGGGGAGGAGGGAAAGGGAAAGTGAAAGGTGTCTCAGAAGGAGCCACCTCTGAGGATGACGAGAGCTCAAGCCTACATAGAAACACAGGAAAAATGCCTCTGTTATTCCACCTGAGAGGTGAGGGAGCTGGGGGATGTATACACCTCCCTTGTCATCACTGATTGACAGCCGTCCTAGGGGTTGCTAATTCCAGGCCATGAGGTCTGCCTCATTTGCAGCCTGAGCTGCTTCCCCAGGTTCAGATAGAGCAGTGAAGGGGAGAAAGGGCCATAGAGAGTCGGCTGAAGTATAATGACTAGAATCCCCAAGGCGTAGTAACAATGACTGCAAAAATTATGCACAAAGAAGAAGCGCATTTGAATCCAGAGATGTATCTCTCTGAATCTGGATATATGGATCCTGGCAGCCTGTTCAGTAGCCATTTCCCAGAAATCCAGTCCTCTGGAAAAGCAGCAGGAGGTTTGTGCACAGGCTGCACTACCTTGGTCTGGCCACTGGTAGTCGTGCATGAGAACTACTCCCTGGAGTGTTTCTCAGTCCACTGACACTGACGTAATTGGCTCCACTTCCCCTGCTGTTGAGCCAGGCTGACACACCCTGGACAAAGACATCTGTGTGAAGTATTGAGGTTCAAATCAGTGCTTAAGATATGTTTGGATGCAAAATACTTTTTCATCTACATGGGCAGTGTCTTGGCAGAAGATGGAGATTCTCTCTAAATGGATGTGAGACAGGGTGGCTGGCATCTGGGTCAGGATGTTGCCCTGGTGCATGGCAAGGACATGCATTGGGCAGCAACTGCCCTCGCTAAGGAGAGAGGTTCACTGACCTGGCTTTTCCCCCCTCACCTGCTCTCCAGAAAGCCAGACTCTAGGGCAAATGCTCCTGAGACCCCAAGAACAGGCTGGTGGGGAGCGCAGCTCAGAGCATTACTCAGGGGATGTGGCCTTTGTCATCCTACTTTGAAACAATTGACTATTTGAGCCTAGATTGATAGAGGGCTTCAAGTTGATTTTAATCCAGGCTCCTATAGTCAGCGAGTGAAACAGAGATTTTAGTTGAAATAATGAGACCTGGTATTACTAGTCAGCTCTCCATGCTGGAGAACCATAAGAAATTATACCAAAGGCAGGAAAGGGGATAGAATATGGGGATCATCACACCAAGAATAAGGTGCAGCCCATTTAGCCCCTGGGTCTTAAAGAGACCCATAGCTCTGGATAATGGCAGATCTATGCGTGACACAGTTATCATCTTTGTGCATCTTCAGAGAATTGTTTTTCCTTTTACTCCTAGGAACAATGTCTTAAGTTTGTTAGTAAATTCTATTGAATTTATTAAAGATTCTTCTGATAAATTCTTTTTATATTCATTTCAAAAAAGAAGAAATTTCACACTGACAGAGACATTGTTATTATAGCACTAAATACTTTTACACTCTTCAAATTCCTTTGAGGCTAACTGAAATTTCTGACAGCCCCACATTCTACAACTTTATTGTAAATTTTCTGCCAAAAGTGATGCTTCCCTATACACTCCTAATACAAGTATAAATATATTATTTAATCTAGGCTTAGGTTGATTTAAAATTTTGAAAATTCACTCCAAAAATATGTTCTGTAACCGTATGGCCACCAATGAGAAATGTATTCTTTCAAGGTAAATCTGTGCTGCCCTGGTCTGACCTGGGACTCTGGGGATACTGCGCCCCTGTGCTGAGTTACTGAAATGAGCCAGCCCCGCAGCTGTGCTCAGCCTGCCCCATCCCCTGCTGATTTGCCTGTTCCTAAAGCACAACCCCCTGCCCTGAAGACTTTTTATAGGCTGGTCACACCCGGTGCAGGAGTCAGTCCCAGTCAGGACACAGCACAGATGTGAGGGCCCCCACTCAGCTCCTGGGGCTCCTGGTGCTCTGGCTGCCAGGTAAGGAAGGAGAACACTAGGATTATACTTGGTCAGTGTGCTCAGTACTGTCTGGAACTTCAGGGAAGTCCTCTGATAACATGATTAATTGCAAGAATATTTGTTTTTATGTTTCCAACTTCAGGTGCCAGATGTGACATCCAGATGACCCAGTCTCCATCCTCCCTGTCTGCATCTGTAGGAGACAGAGTCACCATCACTTGCCGGGCGAGTCAGGGCATTAGCAATAATTTAAATTGGTATCAGCAGAAACCAGGGAAAACTCCTAAGCTCCTGATCTATGCTGCATCCAGTCTGCAAAGTGGGATTCCCTCTCGGTTCAGTGACAGTGGATCTGGGACAGATTACACTCTCACCATCAGCAGCCTGCAGCCTGAAGATTTTGCAACTTATTACTGTCAACAGAGTGACAGTACCCCTCCCACAGTGTTACAAGTCATAACATAAACCCCAAGGAAGCAGATGCATGAGGCTGGGCTGCCCCAATGCTCCTTCTGGTGCCTCTGTCTGCTGAGAAAAGTTCTCAAACTCAGTCAGGTTTGGAAAGTCATAGGGAGATTTTCCTAGAGGAGGCCAGGGAGGTTCCTCTGAACCCTAAGCCTCTTTCATCCTCATCCCCAGCAGAAAAGACGTGACAATGACTGTCCTGACTGAATAAAGAAGAGAGATAAGTCCAGCTGAGGAGTCTGTGTTATGGGATAATCGGAATTTGTACAGCAAAAGAGAAGCTATTCTCAGTATTTCAAGGAGAAATTATTCAAGTTGAATAAATTAGAGTCTAAACCACAGTCTTTCTGAAGCCTATGGAGTGTTATTCATGAAGCAGGTACTAGACACAGGGGATTCTCAGGTGTTACTTCAGAAGCCAGGGTTCACCTGCCCCTGGTGGTATGTGCTGAACACCGTGTGATGATCCTCAGTCCTGTCTGGGAAGCCCAGAGCTGGGGGTGCTGATGCTCTCAGCTGCCTGCAGCACATCTCCAGGTGATTCTCCAGTCCACACCTAACAGCATGTGCTTTACTTCAGGTGTCAGTGTACATGAATCCACCACTCTGACTTCCCAATCTCATGACAGTAATTAGTTGTAACTTATTGTGACCTCGTGGAGCAACTCTAAAGAAACCATAGAGAGAAAAGGAGTTTTGGAAAATGTGCTCCCAGAAGTGATAGTAGTGATGGGGAATTGACAGCTGACGGGGAAGTAAGGTGACTCTTTCCACAAGGCTCAACATTTTGCCAGTTACGAATTGTTGCAAAATACATTTGAATGTGCTTTCAAGTATTAACAGTTTGGGGTCATAGCTGAAAAACTTTATTAAGTCACAGATAAAATGGGAAAATCAGGAAATTGTATGAAATATACAATAACACTATGTGTGATGGCTCAGGTCTGTAATCCTGTGATAGTTAATACAGATTGTCAACTTGATTACATTGAAGGATGTAAGCATTGCTCCTGGGTGAGTCTGTGAGGGTGTTGCCAAAGGAGATTAATATTTGAGTCAGTAGTCTGGGGAAGGCAGACCCCCTGCTTAATCTATGGGCACCATTTCATCAGCTGCCAGTGAATATAAAGCAGGCAGAAAAAAAGTGAAAAAGTGAGTCTGGCCCAGCCTCCCAGCCTACATCTCTCTCCCGTGCTGGATGCTTCCTACCCTTGAACATCGGACTCCAAGTTCTTTAGTTTTGAGACTCGAGCTGGCTCTCCTTACTCCTCATTCCTCATGCCTGCAGACAGCCTACTGTGGGACCTTGTGATCCTGTAAGTTAATATGTAATAATATGTAATAAACCCATATATATATATATAGAACTTATTAGTTCTGTCCCTCTAGAGAACCCTCACTAATACAGATTTTGGTACCAGGAATGGTTCTGCAGGAACAGAATATTAAGGTTGGAGTTCTTTTGTTGGTTTTGGGGTTTCTGGATTTGGCTGCTAAATATGATTAGATCCCAAAATGCTAAGGACTCTACTTTTAATAGTGTAGAGAACATTGACAGTTCTTGGCATGAAAGGTTTAAAGAGCTATGCAAAACAAATTCATTCGACACTAATGAATCATCGCTCGTGAGAGGCAAGGAGTTTAGTGACTCTGTACCTAATACCCTTGACAAACACCTTGCAAAATAGATTTGTGAGGAGAGCGCCTGCATCTTTGAAGAGCCCTGTAAAGGCTCTTCTCTGTATGTCAGTTCTAATGGTGAGAACTGCAGTCACTCAGTTACAAAAGTTAAATACAATTTGGAATAATTGGATCCTGAAGTGGCAGGGGCCAAGTGGTAGCACTCAACCCTCAAAGGCATGGTGGGTGTAGCTACCGTAATGGGCAGAAAAGACAAAGCAGCAATCTGAACAGTCTGACTCATGTAGAGCTCTGGCATTGGCTAACTAATCACAGTGTTCCTAGAAGTGAAACTGACAGGAAAACTAATGCATTCCTACTTAATTTATGTAAGGAGGAAACTTAAGGTCAAACAGATAAAAGACTAATTGGAATTATAAAAACAGAGATTCATGGCCCCTCAATCAATTTCCAGCCTTGAGCCAGTTTACAGACCCAGAACCCCTTGAATGAAGGGGAGGCTGGGTCCCCCTGAGGTGTCCATGGCAGATAGGAATGCTGCTTTGAGGCTTTGGCAGGCCTCTATAGGTGAATCATGGTGCAGTCCTCTAGTATTTTGCAGCAAGGCGTGGTCATCTTCTCCAGTTAACTACTCTCCTTTTGAGAGACAGCTCTTGTCTTATACTGGGCTTTTGTGGAAACTGAACATTTGACTATGAGTCAACAAGTCACCACGCGACCTGAACTGCCTATCGTGAACTGGGTGCTTTCTGACTCATGTAGCCATAAAGTGGGTCATGCACAGCAGCATTGCATCATCAAATGGAAATGGTGTATAAGTGATTGGGCTCAAGCAGGTCCTGGGGGGCACAAGTAAGTTACATGAGGAAGTGGCTCAAATGCCCACCCTGCCACCCTGCTTTCTCTCCCATGGCCTGCACTGATGACCTCATGGGGACTTGCCTTTGAGCAGTTAACACAGGAAGGGAGGACTAGGGTCTGGTTCACAGATGGTTCTCCACAATAGGCAGGTACCGCCCAAAAGTGGACAGCTGAAGCACTACAGCCCCTTTCTAGGACATCCCTGAAGGAGAGTGGTGAAGGAAAATCTTCCCAGTGGGCAGAACATTGAGCAGTGCACCTGATTGTGCACTTTGCATGGAAGGAGAAATTTCCAGATGTGCGGTTATATACTGATTCATGGGCTGTAGCCAATGGTTTGGCTGGATGGTCAGGGACTTGGAAGAAGCATGATTGGAAAATTGGTGACAAAGAAACTTGGAGAAAGAGTATGTAGATGGACCTCTCTGAGTGGTCAAAAACTGAAGATATTTGTACCCTGTGTGAGTGTTGACCAACAAGTGACTTCAGGAGAGGAGGATTTTGATAATCAAGTGGATAAGATGACCCGTTCTGTGGATACCACTCAGCCTCTTTCCTCAGACACCCCTGTCATTGTCCAATGAGACCATGAACATAGTGGCCATGGTGTCAGGGATGGAGGCTATGCATGGATTCAGCAATGTGGACTTCCACTCACCAAGGCTGAACTGTCTGTGGCCACTGCTGAGTGCCCAATTTGCCAGCAGCAGCAGAGACTAACAGTGAACTCTTTGTATGGCATCATTCCC
The DNA here is from genome assembly GCF_000001405.40 of Homo sapiens. Lineage (NCBI taxonomy): Eukaryota > Metazoa > Chordata > Mammalia > Primates > Hominidae > Homo > Homo sapiens. The sequence goes on along the minus strand of NT_187380.1, from coordinate 82,734 downwards.
TGGGGTGATCGACCAGCTACCCGGTGACAGGTTGATTATATTGGACCTCTTCCACCATGGAAAGGAGAGAGGTTTGTCCTCATTGGAACAGGCACTTACTCCGGATATGAGTTTACCTACCTGCATGCAATGCTTCTGCCAAGACTACTATTTATGGACTCAAGGAATGCCTTATCCACTATCACGGTATTCCACACAGCATTACCTCTGACCAAGCACTCACTTTACAGGTGAAGAAGTGAGGCAATGGGCTCACGTTCACGGAATTCACTGGTCTTACCATATTCACCATCTTCCTGAAGCATCTGGATTGATAGAATGGTGGGACGGCCTTTTGAGGTCGCGATTACAACGTCAACTAGGTTACAATACTTGGCCGGGCCGGGGCACCATACTCCAGAAGACCATGTGTGCTCTGAATCAGCGCCCAACGTATGGTATTGTTTCTCCCATAGCCAGTATTCACAGATCCAGGATTCAAGGGGTGGATGTGAAAGTGGAACCACTCACTATGATGCACTAGCAAAATGTTTGCTTTCTGTTCCCACGACATTAGGTTCTGCTTTACTAGTCATCTTAGCTCCAGAGGGAAGAACGTTGCTACCAGGAGACACAATAAGGATTCCATTAAACTGGAAGTTAAGATGGCCACTTGGACGCTTTGGGGTCCTCCTACCTTTAAGTCAACAAGCTAAGAATGGAGTTACAGTGTTGGCGGCAGTGATTGACCCAGACTATCAAGATGAAGTCAGTCCACTACTCCACAACGGAAGTGAGGAAGAGTATGCATGGAATATAGGAGATCCATTAGGGCATCTCTTGGTATTATCATGCACTCTGATTAAGTTAAATGGGAAACTATACCCAATCCAGGTAGGACTACAAATGGTCCAGATCCTCTCCGGGTCACGACCTGCTGAGCTGCTTGCTGAAGGCAAAGGGAATACAGAATGAATAGTGGAAGAAAGTAGTTATCAATACCAGCTACGACCACCTGACCAGCTGCAGAAATGAGGACTGGAACTATCATGAGTATTTCCTTCTTCTTTTGTTAAAAACATGTTTGTGCATGTATGCACTTGTACTAAGAAAATATCTTCATTTCATTTCCCTTTTCTTTATCAGGTGACATAGATTTGCTCACCTCATATCAGCATTTAAGTATTGTTTACTTTATGTAATAGTATTTGGGTTGAGGATTGGTGCATTTCCAGTTGTAGGAAGGATAGTTTATTATGTTGGGGTAATTATGACCTAACTATTGTCTGTATTTTAAGATTATGTATGATCTCAGGAGATGTGCGTGGGTTCAAGTTCACAAGGGGTGGGCTTATGATGGTTTATAATGAGTGTCAACTTGATTGGATTGAAGGATGTAAAGTATTCATCCTGGGTGTGTCTGTGAGGGTGTTGCCAAAAAAAGATTAACATGTGAGTCAGTGGGCTGGGAAAGGCAGACCCACCCTTAATCTGTGTGGGCACAATCCAATCAGCTGCCAACCCAGCCATACTATAAGCAGGCAGAAAAATGTGAAAAGAGACGGGCCTCGCCTCCCAGCCTACATCTTTCTCCCATGCTGGATGCTTCTTGCCCTCGAACATGGACTCCAAGTTCTTCAGTTTTGGAACTCTGGCTGGCTCTTTTTGCTCCTCATCCAGCAGATGGCCTATTGTGAGACTTGGTGATTGTGTGAGTTAATACTTAATAAACTTCCTGTATTAGACAGTGACATCTAGAGGGACAGAACTAACAGGATATATACATATATATATACACACACACATACATATATATATGCACACACACACACACATATATATATTTATTTATAAAGGGGAGTTTATTAACTTACAGGATCATAAGTTACACAATGGGCTGTCTGCAAACTGATGAGAAAGGAGAGCCATGGAGTCCAATGTTTGAGGGCAGGAAGAAACCAGCATGGGAGAAAGATGTAGGCTGGGAGGCTAGGCCAGTCTCTCCTTTTCAAATTTTTCTGCCTGATTTATATTTGCTGGCAGCAGATTAGATTGTGCCCACCAGATTAAGGGTGGGTCTGCCTTCCCCAGCCCACTGACTCAAATGTTAATCTCTTTCGGCAACACTCTCACAGACACACCCTGGATCAATACTTCATATCTCTCAATCCTATCAAGTTGACACTCATTATTAACCATGTCACTCCCTTTCATATATATATGTATATAGTCCTTTAATTCTGTCACTCTAGAGAACCCTGACTAATACATCTACACTTCTGATGATCTATTTCTTTTATTTTAGGTCATTTATTTCCCCTGGGTTGCCTACACTCGCTTCTTCCCACTCCCCTATGAAGGACAATATAAGCCTCTGGACCTCACTAGGTCAGGGCATGTCCCTGCTTGCACTATCCATGACACTTTCCTCTTTTACTCTTTAGCAATGAGGTAATGTCATCCTTACCCAGATGCCAGCCAACTGTCTCACATCCAGGACAGAGAGTCTCCATCTCCTCTCCAGCAAATAACCATGTATGTGTGCATGGTGGCATGCCCCTGTGATCCCAGCTACACCATAGGCTTAGGGGGGAGAATCACTTGTGCTTCAGAATTCAAGGTTGCAATGAGCCATGATCACACCACTGCATTTCATGCTGGGTAACAGAGAGACCCTGTGATTTTTCCCCTACATTTTACAGAATTTTTTTTTGCCTCTTTCTTCTATTAATTTATGTTTTGTCCATTCATTTTCTGCAAACATTTAGAGGGCAAATAGGAAGTTTCCCTTTATAACGTGGTGGCTCACGCCTGTAATCCCAGCACTTTGGGAGGCCGAGGTGAGCCGATCACCTGAGTTTGGGAGTTTGAGACTAGCCTGACCAACATAGAGAAACCTCGCCTCCACTAAAAAAAATACAAAATTAGCAGGGTGTGGTGGTGTGCACCTGTGATCCCAGCTACTCAGGAGGCTGAGGCAAGAGAATTGCTTGGACCTGGGAGGCGGAGGTTGCAGTGAGCCCAGATTTTGCCACTACACTCCAGCCTGGGTGACAAGAGCGAAACTCCATCTCAAAAAAACAAAACGAAACAAAAACAAACAAAAAAACACCTACTGCCTCACTGAATTAAAGGCGTGTTCAGCAGTTTCTTTGTTATTTCAAAGAGTGGCATCTGCTTCAGCAGGGTCAGTTTTTAATGTGTTTGTTTTGTTTCTTTTTTCTCTGTCTGGTGTTCTTTTCTATTTTATTATAATTTTTTAAATTTGAGGGATGAGGTTTTCATAGTACTGAATATCAAACAATGAATCCGCATGAATGATTCACCTAATTTCCGTGGTTTTAGTCCTCTATACAGGTTTTATATAGCAAAAGAACCATTTAAAGACTTGGGTTACAAATGCATTTTATTTTACCTCTGGCATGCCTTGGGCTGAGAAAGCATTATATGGTGGCACAATATTTGTAACATTCTCATAGCCATCTGGTGGTGGTTCGAGGTATGACGTTTTGAAAATCTAGCAAGAATTAAAAATATGTCAAGTTAGAGAGAATAATTCCAGATTATTATTAAGATATAATTCATTTTGCCCCAAGTATATACTTCAGATTAAGCATCCTGGAACTAGGTTCTATAATTAAATAGATAAATTACACTGACAACAATGAGAAAGGGCCTTATCATTATTATTGTCTTCCTAATAATAGAAACTTTTATAAATGCATGCAATCCCAGGTAACCAAAACTTTCCTTATAAAGTGTAACAGCAGAGCTTCAAAGGTGGCACTTTGGCAATCCTCTTTTTTTGACTATGCCTTTTCAGCTTCGTTTGTGGGCTCCTTTTCTTTCATCTTTATTTAAATAATATTTCCCTATGTTTTATCCCCAGCCCATTGCTTGCCTCTGTACTGCCTCCCTGCGAGACTTCATTAAGTATCAGAATTTTACCAATAGCTCATATGCTTATGATGCTTACCTTTTCAGATTCGTATATTTAAATGTTTTGTGGTTATTTCATCCTGGATGTCCAAACTCAACATGTTAAAATTCAAATTTATCATCTCTCACCCCGGGCCTGCTTTTGGTCTGCATTACCTACCTCTATTAATAGCTTCAGTCATTAGCCACCGACACCAGACAGTCTCGGAGTCATCCTGAACTCTATCTTCCCCTCCTTCCCCAAGTCAATCACTAATCAAGTCCTGCTAATACATTTCCTTACTATTTCTGAAATCCATCCGTCTTCCTCATTCCTACTAACATCCTAATTTAAAACTTTATTATCTTTTACCTGGACTATTGTCTTAAGACAACAACTTTAACCCGTTGCTTAGCCTAGGTGTAATCCACAGAGGATCTTGTCTGTCTAAAATGCCCCTCTAGCCACATCCTTCCCCTGCTCAGATCTTGTCATTGGCTCCCATGAACTGAAGTTGAAGTTTAAGCTCCTTAGGACAGCATACACGCCCTTCTATGATATGTTCCCAGAACATATTTACTGGTTTATCTCATACCATGGCCCACTTTGTATTTTACACTTTTGAAATACAGAAAGTCATTACATTCTACCAATAATACTAAGATAGTATATGCCTAAAAGCCTTTGGCAATATTTTGTCTTTTGTTGAGAATTCTCTTAGCTTATTTTGTCACGTGTTTAACTCCTTATGTCCTTTCATGACTCACATGTCAAGACTTCAGGAAACCTTCTCTAACTCCCAGGCTGGGCTGAGTGACCCTTTTCTGGGTAAGTAATGAACTCTAATCATACTCTTCATAGCACTTACCATACTAATTTGAAGTCTGAAGTATTCCATTGTCTGCCTCACTTTACTTAGACAAAGGAACCATGTCCTAGTCTCATTCTGGCCTCAGGACTTCAGCCTGGGCGACAGTGGGAGACTGTGTGTCAAAAAAAATTGCTAATGATTGAAGCCTAATACTGAAGATTCTGGTTTATTAATAATTAGTCTGGGTGTTAATTGAGCTCCCCAAGTGATTACTCATGTAGGACTTCAAACCAATAATTTAGAACCTTGTGACTCAAAATCTGGGCAAAAATAAGCAGCATCAGTATCACCTGGGAGCAGCTTCAGGTCTCACTTTAGATTTACTCTGAATCGAAATATTATATTTTTATTAAAAAAATTAAGAACAGATGACAAGCTTCAACTACATCTAAATTCTTTAGATTTACTTTAAAAGAATCAACATTTTGACAAAATACCAAAGTGAACTAAATTTGCTTTTTTTTTTTTTTTTTTTTTGAGACAGAGTCTTGCTCTGTTGCCCAGGCTGGAGCGCAGTGGTGCAATCTCAGCTCACTGCAACTTCCACCTCTCCAGTTCAAGCGATTATCTTGCCTCGGCCTCCAAAGTAGCTGGGATTACAGGCACATGCCATCATGCCCAGCTAATTTTTGTATTTTTAGTAGAGACAGTGTTTCACAATGTTGGGTCAGCTGGTCTCGAACTCCTGACCTCAAGTGATCTGCCCGCCTCGGCCTTCCAAAGTGCTAAGATTATAGACATGGGCCACCATGCCTAGCCTAAATTTGCTTTAATTTGGAGAAATACTGGTCTAGAAAACACAAATTCCAAGGAGACTGAGGTTCTTAAGTTGATTTCTTGAGTACAAGTCCTTCAAATGCATTCTCCAAGATTTTTTTTTTTAATTTTTAAATTGACAAAGATTATACATATTCATGGCTATATGGGGATGTTTCAGTACATGTAGATGGTGATCAGATCAGGGTAATTAGCATATCTATCATCTCAAACATTTATTATTTCTTTGTGTTGGGAACATTCAAACTACTCCTAGGTATTTTAAACTACATAATATAGTATTGTTAACTATAGTCATCTACAGTACTATAGAACACTAGAACTTATTACTCCTACCTAGCTGTAATTTTGTATCCATTAACAAATATCTTACTATTCCTCCTTTCTCCCTACCCTTTTCAGCCTGCATTATCCTCTGTTCTACTTTTTACTTCTATGAGATCAGCTTTTTTTTAGCTTCTGCGTGAGTGAGAACATGTGGTGTTGAAATTTCTATTCCTGGCTTATTTTGCTTAACATAATATTCTCCAGTTCCATCCAAGTTGCTGAGAATGACAGGATTTTATTTATTCTTTTTTATGGCTAAATAGCATTCCGTGGTGTATATATACCATATTTTAAAAATCCATTCCTCTGTTGTTGGAAACCTAGGTTGATTCCATATCTTGGCTATTGTGAACACTGTTGCAATAAACATGGGGGATGTAGATGTCTCTGCAATATAATGCTTTTCTTTCCTTTGGATAAATTCCCAGTAGTGGGATTGCTTGAGGTGTTTCAATACTGTTCTCCATACTGGCTGCACTAATTTACATTCCTACCAACAGTGCATAAGAGTTCCTTTTTCTTCAGCTACTCAGGAGGCTGAGGGAGGAGAACTATTTGAACCCTAGAAGCAGAGGGAGCCAGATTACACCACCACTGCACTCCAGCCTGGACAGAGAGTGAGATTCTGTCAAAAAAAGGTCCCTTTTCTTCACGTCTTTGTCAGCATTTGTTATTTTTGTCTCTTCTATAATAGCCATCCTAACTGGAGTAAGATGATGCCTCACTGTGGCTTTGATTAGCATTTCCTTGCTGATTAGTGGTGTTGAACATTTTTTCATATATTTGTTGGTCATTTGTATGTCTTCTTTTGAGAAATGTCTGTTCAGAGCATTTGTTTATATTTAATTAGATTGTTGTGCTTCTTTGCTGTTGATATGTTTGAATTCCTTGTATATTCTTGATATTAATTTCCTGCCAGATGAGTTTATATTTTCTCCCATTCTGTAGGTTGTCTTTTCACTCACTTTATTATTTCCTTTGCTGTGCAGAAGATTTTTAGCTTGATGTGATCCCATTTGTTTATTTTTTCTTTTGTTGCCTGTGCTTTTGATGCCTTATTCATAAAATATTTTCCCAGAGCAATGTCCTGAAGGATCTCCCCTATGTTTTCTTCTAGTAGCTTTACCATTTTGGGTCTTATATTTGGGTATTTGAGGTACTTTGAGTTGATTTTTGTATAGGGTGAGAGGCAGAGGTCTAGTTTCATTCTTCTGCATATGGATATCCAGTTTTTCCAGCACCATTTATTGAAGAGACTATCCTTTTCCCAATGAGTGTTCTTGGCATCTTTGTAAAAAATCTGTTGGCTGAGATATGTGGATTTTCTGGGTTCTTTATTCTATTCCATAGGTCTATGTGTCTGTTTTTATGCCAATACCATGATGTTTTGGTTACTACAGTTTTGTAGTATATTCTGAGGTCTGGTAGCATGATACATCCAGCTTTGTTCTTTTTGCTTAGGATGGCTTTGGCTATTCAGGATATTTTTTGATTCCATAAAATCTCTTTGGATTTTTTTTTATTTTGTGAAGAATGTTCATAGGTATTTTGATAGAGATTGCATTGAATCTGTAGGTTACTTTTGAGTAGTACTGTCACTTTAACAACATTCATATTTCTGATCCATGAGTGTGAATGTCTTTTCATTTGTTTGTATCCTCTTCAATTTCTTTCATTAGTGTTTTGTAGTTTTCATTTTACCTCCTTGGTTACATTTATGTCTGGGTTATTTTTGGTAAGTATTGTAAATGGGTTTGCCTTCTTAATTTCTTTTTCAGCGAGTTTGTTGTTCATAAATATAAATGCAACCAATCTTTGTGTATTAGTTTTGTGTCTTGCAACTTCATTGAATTTGTTTGTTCTAAAAGTTTTCTGGTAGAGTCTTCAGGTTTTCCTATATATAAGATCATGTCATCTGCAAATAGGAACAATTTGATGTCCTCCTTTCCGATCTGAATGCCCTTTATTTCTTTCTCTTGTCTAATTACTCTTGATAGGACTTCACATTTATATACTTTGAATATTTAAAATGTTTACATAAATGTCAGAATCAACTTTCATTTTTCATAGAAAAAGAAGACCCTACTTGTTTTGTAGTTTTAATATTAATCAATTATTATTATCTGAGACAAATTATTTAACAAATTAAATTGTCTATTAAAATATTTCACCACAAATAAATTCCATAAGGAAAATATCTACAACTGTTTTTATGAAAGAAAAAAAGGCTTCTCTACAGTTGCTTAGGCCTGGTGCCATGGCACACACCTATAAATCCCAGCGCTGTGGAAGGCCATGGCAAGAGGATCCTTTGAGCCCAGGAGTTTGAGACCAGCGTGGACAACAAAGTGAGACCTCATCTCTATAAAAAATAAAAAAGAAATTAGCTGGCCATGGTGGTGCGTGCCTGTGGTCCTAGCTACTCGAGAGGCTTAAGAAGGAGGATCACTTGAGCCAGGGAGGTGGAGGTTTCACTGAACCATATTCACGCCACTCCACTCCAGCCTGGGCAACAGAGCTAGACCTTGTCTCAAAAAATTAAGTTAGTTAAATTAAACATAAAGTTGCATTGTATTTAAGAAATTAGGAAAGCAGAAAATGCTTCTGTTTTTCTTTTGAGTTGAACAATGAGAACACATGGACACAGGGAGGGGAACATCACATACCGGCGCCTGTCAGGGGGGTGGGAGGCTCGGGGAGTGATAGCATTAGGAGAAATACCTAATGTAGATGATGGGTTGATGGGTGCAGTAAACCACCATGGCATGTGTATACCTACGTAACAAACCTCCACGTTATGTACATGTATCTCAGAACTTAAAACGTAATAATAACAATAATAAAAGCGACAAAAAAAGGAAACGCTTCTTGTTAGAACAGATTACATACCCTTATTGCTTTTTATAATAGCCTGTAATAACAGAATATCCACAAGGTGGCAGTAATATATCAGTTTCATTCTCTGAAATTAAAACTTTTGCCTATTCAGTAATACAATGGATCTTTTGAACTCACTCTAACACGTAGAATACAGCAATTTGACTTAATAATTAGCCTTTAAATTTATAGTCTTGTATTATCACTTTAGTGGTTTGAATTATTTTGTATTTTAATATATTTAAATGAATTAGTCCTATACAAATTGACTAATTTGACATGTGAAGGTGTTTTTATTCTATCTTCAGAAGTTTAGCTTTAAAAAAATTTCTAAACTTCGATATCTGGTGAGTGCCAATGTTTTTATCTTATTAAAAGGTGACAGACCACACTATATTCATCTGATTTTTTTTTACAAGGATGCAAAATCAGTTTAAAGGAAGGATATCTTTTTCAACAAATGGTGCTAGAGCAATTGGACATTCACAGGTACAAAAACTAAGACTGACCTAAATTTATACTTTATATAAAATTTAGCTCACATAAATCACAGGCTTAAATGTAAAATGCAATATTATAAAACTTAAAGTTGTGTATGGTAGCTCGTGCCTGTAATCCCAGCTACTACTCAAGTGGCTGAGGTGGAAGGATCACTTCAATCCAGCTGTTAGTGGCTGCAGTGAGCAATGATGACACCACTGCACTACAGCTTCGGCGAAACCTCGTCTCAAAAATAATTAATAAATAAATAAATTCATTAAACTTTTTAAAATAGAAGAAAACTCTTGAGACCTTGGGCTAGGCAAAGAATTTTTAGGCTTGATGTTGAAAACAAAATCTACAGAAGGAAAAAGTGATAAAACTGGACTTCATTAAAATAAATAAACACTTTTTTTTTTTTTTTTTTACTTAGACCCTGTAAAGAGGTTGAAAAAATGAATTACAGACTGGGAGAAATAATTTGCATACCATATATCTGACAAAGAACTTACATCTAGCATATGTAAAAAATTCTCAAAACTCAACAGTAATAAATAAGGTATCCAATTAGAAAATAGGCATATGTGACCTCTCTGTATTATAACTTAAACCTCATGTGACTACAATTATTTCAAATGAAATAAACACAACAGTAATGCCTGTTTCTAGCATATAAAATAATCGGAGAACATAGAATTATACAAAGTTAAATTATTGGGCCATTTACTTAATTTAAATATTTTTAAATGCGTGTACCCATTTTGCTTGAAGGTGTGTGCAAGTATGCTTGTATTTTTTTAACGATAATATGGTCACATGAGCATTAATTTTTTTTTTAAAGTTTATAGTTACCCCACACAAGTTCTTATTGATTTCCTCATTCTTAACACCTGCATAGTATTTCATTTTATAATTAATGGATTGTAGGTTTATTCTTTTAAAATCACTTGTGTTGTTCTCATGTATTTTTTTTTTCACTAAAAAGTGTTGCAATGCACAAAACTAAAAATATAATGAGGGTCTTTTCTGGATCTCTGTTGAAAAACTTTGAATAAAAATTACAAGTTCAAATCACATGCAAAATAAACATTTTAATTAATAGGACTTTTATGCAAGGTGTTAGTAGAAGCAGCAGCACAGTTTTATTAATATCCCTGAATCTCTCACAAAACTGACTGAGCAACTGGGATAACAAGGTATTAACTATGACAAAACAATGTAACAGGGTGTCATCATGGACCTTTTGTGAGGTTAAACCAGAGGGAACCAGGCGAATCACCAATTTTTTTGGAAGAAGGAAAGGAAAGAAAAAAATGTTTAATGGCCCTGGGAACTGGAAAACCTAGAAATACAAGCGCTAACATCTATGTTCCTAAATTCAGAGATTCTTACTAGGCGAAAAGAACTCAGCAGATTAATCTGAGAACAGCAGCTGAGGCTGGCAGAAGGCTTCCTGGGCCTCAACTCATAGCTGAGAGTGAGGATGGCAAAAAGCAGGTGCTGTGAGTGGTCTGTTTCCTATGAACCCTACAAATTAACCACCCCCAAAATAAAGCCCTGTCCTAAAGAGAAACTGCAGGAAGTCAACTATAAATTGAGTTGGGAAGCACACTGAGGCTCAAGAAAAGGAAGCTCCAGGTTAAGATGCAAGAGAAGAAGGGAAAAGGCAGTTTTCTGCAAGTTCAAGCACAAATAATTTCTTTACCTTCTAGTTCTGGAAATACCAGGTGCTGTGTATGTAAAGCAGGAATTTTGGTTGAATATTATATAATTTTCTGACCCACTGTTACTAATCCAGTTTCCCCTGTACTCAGGTCTTCCATGCTACAGACAGACTGATAGATGCTCAGCAAATAGTTGCTAATATTTTCTAGGTAACTAGGTGCTAAACGAGTTTTCTTAAATTTCTACCTCCAGGTCTGTAAGTTGATTTGAAGCATTACCAGTTTCTGGTTCTGCACAGGTTGTTGAGCGCAGGACTTCTCTCCTCCAGTGGAAAGTCCACCTGCTCACAATCAACCATCCTTTCCTGTGGCCTTGAGACACTACTCAGTGTAGCACGCCTCCCAGTCTAGAATAGGCACACTCATCATCAGTCTCTCTCATTTGCTGTCTTATCTCCACTCCATCTACATACAGTTTTTGTTTTCGCCAATGTTTTTAAATAAACAACTGTACAAGCACAACAATGACAACAGAAACCTTCCTTCCCCCAGTGTTGTAGTGAACAAGGAATATATTTAACTTCAAATAAAAGACAAAAACAAATGCTGGATAAAGCTGACAGAAAGAAATGCAACTGTAGGTGCTCTGGCAATATAGAAATGATACAACTAAGAAAAATGGAAGAAAAGGAAAGAGAAAGCATTCCTCAGAATGATTTTACTGACTGCTCATCTGTAATGCCTGGGAGTCAAAGGATATTGTTTATAGAAATGTAAGCATACTTAATGGCACCAGGGGAAACAAAGTTAATATGATTAAATCAAATTGTGGGATGAAAAATCACGTAGGGAGGACAAGAAAGAGAATACAGCTAATACCATTGTTCTTAGTTTAGAGACATTCGCTACTGTCTAAAGAAAGAGATGATTTTATGAAATTACATAAGGTAGCCATCAGAATAAAAGTTTAACTCTTCCAAATATCACAACATCAAAACAAAAGCAATAAAAACAAACAAGACAGCAAAAGACAGATATGTGCATCTAAATCATAGCATAATATACGGCAATCAAAATATAAACAAACACAATTTATCATTAAAAGTAAGTGGCTTGACTCTTATTAGAGGAAAAATATTGTCAGATTAAATCAAAAAGCAAATCTCAGTTCTATGCTGGATATAAGATAAAGTGTTACAGAAAGTTTAGAAATAAAAGTATAGGCAATGAATAAAAGGATCTTCTCTTCATGCGTTAGGAGTATAAAACAGTAAATCAACACATCATACGTTTTCTGTTTTTACATTTAAATGGCTGGAGATGTTACACCACTAGTATGAATTTACTTCAGATATATAAAGGATACACTTTTATGTGGTTAGAAACAGCAATGATAATAGTTAAGGTGAAAATAACATCTGCATTGACGTTAGGAAGAAAGAGCCATTGTTGGGTACATAGTGATCACATTACCATGGAGCAATCTGTTCCCAACTGAAATGTCCTTGCCCTTCTACTGAAATCATGTAAGATTCTGCAAAAGTAGTGTTTACTTCCCACAAATGAGCCATTTGTGGGAATGGCTGCTATTGTTGTCCACACGGAATGAACATCAGACCTATATTTACCTGTTGTATCATTAAGAGTCGTATTTGGCCCTTTCCAGAGGCTATTTCAATTATATTTTGGAGAATTAGTCTATTTCCAGACAAATAATTTTACCAGAACTTTGATCCATATGAAATGACCCTTTGGTAGGGATCCAGGGATTGAGTTTATTTTTAATTACTGTAGCATCCTGGTCAGGTTGAGAAACAGATTACATTTTTATTTCCCTGGCATGTGAGCAGGGCTAGATTTAGCATGAGAATGCTTGAAAGTTCATAGTTTTTTAGAAATTTTATTTACTGTGTGTCTCTTTCTCAAAATAAAATTAATGCTGAAAAGCTATATTAAATGAATTATTTTGAGATGGTCTCTTCCCCCTTCTTCCAATGAGAGGATATCCACAGATATGTCAGGAGCTTGCTTTACCTAGAAATGTGTTGAGGGCCACAGGTTTGGGTTTACCTAGGAATGTTTAGGGACACCTCCCCAAGTTGTTGTTGAAGAGTGGGGTAAATGTAAGATAGAATTAGGCTCACGGAGGCCAGATGAGAGCATCATGTCACCCCAGAAACACAGCATATACCTAGGAGATCTGTTCTCAGTATCAAAGTCTTAAGCACTGTAAGATTGCCTATAGACTAAGACAACAACTATATATATATATATATATATATATATAGTTAATAAAATCAGTTAATATATAAACATATATTTATTTATCAACTTCTTTTTATTCTTATCTTCAGACAGCATCTTGCTCTGTCACCTAGGCTGGAGGGCAGTAGTGCAATTAAGGCTCACTGCAGCCTTTACCTCTGGGGCTGAAGCTATCCTCCTGCCTCAGTCTCCTAAAGTGCTAGGATGAGAGGTGTGAGTCACCTTGCCAGGCCCAGGGCAATAACTATGCAATGTTTATATAACTTGGAGCAAAAAATATTTGAAATATGTGTACATTGATTTTTAACCTTGTCTATTGATTTACTTTATTAAATACTGAATAGAAACAATATATTTATAAAATATTTATTGTATATGTATAATAAGCACATAATGAACACCTGTGTCTCCAGTCTTGGTTTAAGAAATTAAGCCAAAAGTAATCATAAGTGCTTATGATTACTTTTGAAGTCACCTGTACAACTTTTGCTGACTGCATCCCCGTCAACACTCTAACGATGGCCACTGTGAGCACTGTGTATATTGAATTGTGTTCTATTTTAATACCGTGTGCACTACATTGTTTTCCTAGCTGTATGCTATTGCATTTAGTGAGAATAAGGAATTATATCAGTATAAATCACTTTTGTCATTTCATTGTTTCAGCTTTTCTGTACTAATTATTGCCAATATATTTCTACTGGCGTAAAAACAGACACATAGGACAGTGGAACAGAATAGAGACTGCAGACAAATGTACACATTTACACACAACTCATCTCTGACAAAGGCATCAAGAACATACACTGGGAAAACAACAGTCTTTTCAATAAATGATCCTGGGAAAACTGAATAACTGTATGCAGAAGGATAAAATTAAACCCATCTTACCATACACAAAAATCAAATCAAATAAAAATGGATTAAAGACTTGAATCTGAGACCTCAAACTATGAAGCTAGTAAAAAATAAAAAAGCATAGGAAAGGCCAGGCGTGGTGGCTCACGCCTGTATTCCCAGCACTTTGGGAGGCCGAGGCGGACAGATCACGAGGTTAGGAGATCAGGACCATCCTGGCTAACACGGTGAAACTCCGTCTCTACTAAAAATACAAAAAAAAAAAAAAAAAAATTAGCGGGGCATGATGGTGGGCGCCTGTAGTCCCAGCTACTCGGGAGGCTGAGGCAGGAGAATGGTGTGAAAAAAAAAAAGAAAAAAGAAAAAAGAAAGCATAGGAGAAATGCTCCAGGACATTAGTCTGGGCAAAGATTTTTTTGCGTAAGACCTCGGAAGCACAGGCAACAGAAGCAAAAATAGACAATGGGATTATATCAAACTAAAAAGCCTCAAGCAAAGGAATCAATCAACAAAGCGAAGAGCCAACCACAGACTGGGACAAAATATTTTCAAACTATCTATCTGATAAAGGATTAACAAGTAGAATATATAAGGAGCTCAAACAACTCAATAATAAACAAAAAATCTGATTGAAAAATGGGCTACTGAAGAGGCTGAGGTAGGAGGATTTTTTTTTTTTTTTTTTTTGAGATGGAGTCTCGCTGTCGTCCAGGCTGGAGTGCAGTGGCACGATCTCGGCTCACTGCAGACTCTGCTCCCCAGGGGTTCATGCCATTCTCCTGCCTCAGCCTCCTGAGTAGCTGGGACTACAGGCGCCCGGCACCAAGCCAGGCTAATTTACTGTATTTTTAGTAGAGACGGGGTTTCACCGTGTTAGCCAGGATGGTCCTGATCTCCTAACCTCGTGATCTGTCCGCCTCGGCCTCCCAAAGTGCTGGGAATACAGGCGTGAGCCACCGCGCCCGGTCAGGAGGATTTCTTAATCCCAGGAGTTTGAGGTTACAGTGAGCTATGATTATGCTACTGCCCTTTAGCTTGGGTGACAAAGCAAGACCTTGCTTCTAAAAAAATAATAGTTAAAAATATATAAATAAATACAATTTAAAAATGGGCTAAAGATCTGAACAGATATTTTCTCAAAAGAAGACATACAAATGGCCAATAGGAAGATGAAAAAATGTTCAATATCACTAATCGTCAAAGAAATGCAAATCAAAATCACAATGCAATATCATCTCACCTTGGTTGAAATGACTTGTTTCAAAAAGACAGGCAATAACAGATGCTGGCAAGGATGTGGAGAAAGGGAAATACTAGTACACTGTTAGTGGGAATCTACATTAATAAAGCCACTATGGAGAACAGTATGGAGGTTCCTCAAAAAAGTAAAAATAGAACTACCATGTGGCCCAGCAATTTCTTTACTGGATATATATCCAAAATAAAGGAAATTAATGTATCAAAGACATATCTACATGCCGATGTGTACTGCAGCACTATTCACAATAGACAAAATATGGAATCAACGTAAGTGCTCATCAACAAATGAATAGATTTTAAAAGTCATATATATACATAATGGAATACTACTCAGATACAAAGAAGAATGAAATTCTGTCATTCACAGCAACATAGGTGGCGCTGGCCATTTGGCTTAACGTAATGAACAGAGGCCATTATGTTAAGTGGAATGAGCCAAGCACAGAAAGGCAAATATCACATGTTGTCACTCATATGTGGGCAGTAAAAAAGTGAATCTCATGAAGATAGAAAGTAAATTGGTGGTTGCTAGAGGCCAGCAAGGGGAGTTGGAAGAGGAGATTAAGAGAAGAAAATATAAATGTATTTATCACCACTAAACTGTCCTCTAAAAATGTACAGATGGTAAATTATACATATATTTTTTAACTCAATAAAAAGTTAAAAAAATTCTGCTGTGTGTTTATAGAGCACATGTACAAGACTTTCTCTAGGGTTGTATTAGTTTTCTATTCCTGCTGTAATAACTTACCACAAATTCAGTGGCTTAAAAGTACACATTTTTGTAAGATTTGAGTCAGTTTTAAAAAACACACATAAACTTGTCTTAGAATTGTTTTGGTTGGAAATCTGGCATGGCTCTCACTGAACTAACATCAAGATGTTGGCAGGCTGCATTTCTTTCTGAAGGCTCTAAAAGAGCATCTGGGTTGTTGGCAGAATTCAGTTCCTTGTGGTTGTAGATCCTCAGTTTCTTCCTGGTTGAAAACTTTGGGTCATTCCCAGCTTCTAAAGGTCACTGGCTTTCCTTGGCTTGTGGCCCCCTACCACTGTTTTAAAAGCCAGTAATAGCAGGCCACATCTTTCTCATACTGTCATCTGTCTGAATCTCAGCATCCAGAAAATATTCTCTGCTCTCAAGGAATTATGAGATTAGATTGGACTCACCAAGGTAATTCAAGGTAATTTCCCCATTTCAATGCCCTTAATGGTAATCACATCTGCCAAGTCCCTTTGAACATGCTAACTTACTTTAGCATGTTCACCTTATCTGAAGACTGGGATGTGGCTGTCTTTGGTGGGGAGCAATTATTCTGCCTAACCCAAAGAAACGCAACTTGCAGATATACAACTAGTTCATGGAGATGAAACATTTTCAAATCTACAAGAAAATGTTTTCTAAAATGAGCATTTCATATTAGACTTTCACGAGCACTGTGTCAGAATTATATTTACTTCATAATGCTGCCAATACTGATATCAGATATTTAATTTTCTAGCCAGTTCAGGATAATGTGAATTGTGAATAATATATTTGTTCATTCAGTCAACAAACATTTTTTATCAGATACCACCGATATGCTGGACAGTGTCATGGATCCTAAAAATATAGCTGTTATTATTATTTTTTTAAACAAAGTTCCCACTGTGATAAAGCTTTTATTCTTTGGGACAGGCAGACAGTAATCCAGATAAATAAACGCAAGGGCAAATTGGGGGAAAAATTGGAATGGAGAGCTCAGAATCTGGCCCCAGAGAAGGGCAGAGGGAAAGGAGACCCAGTTCAGAATCTCGGTGCGTCCACACCAAACGATTCCATGAGGGCTGAGGAGACAGAGCTGAAAGGCTTGTCTGACATCACAAGAGACAGAAAAGTGAGCCCCATTTTCATCTCTATCCTGACAACGTTCCTGGCTTGATTTCCTCCTTCCAGCAGACACAAGAATCAGGGAGCGCACCCTGATGGTAACATTTTTTTCAGGGGCCTATTTTGGGGATGCTGGTGAGAACCTGAGTCTGTCACTGACCACGGCAGCCTAGCATGGTCCCCAGTGCGTGGCCCAAGGCCAAGATTCTCTACCTCCATCCTGGAGGCAGAAGAAATGTCTGGGGGAAAATGAGAGGTTTTAGGTGGTTGGCACTGGGTGAGACCAATGAGAAATTTTAAAGCTGTGTGTCCTGGGGCCGGGGGCGGTGGCTCACGCCTGTAATCCCAGCACTTTGAGAGGCCGAGGCGGGCAGATCACGAGGTCAGGGATTGAGACCATCCTGGCTAACGGTGAAACCCCGTCTCTACTAAAAATACAAAAAATTAGCTGGGCTTGGTGGCGGGCGCCTGTAGTCCCAGCTACTCGGGAGACTGAGGCAGGAGAATGGCGTGAACTGGGAGGCACAGCTTGAAGTGAGCTAAGATCGCACCACTGCACTCTAGCCTGTGTGACAGAAAGAGACTCCTTCTCAAAAAAATAAAAATAAAATAAAAATAGAAAATAGAAAAAGCTGTGTGTCCCTTGTTTCTTCATATTTTGCAGATTTTTGATGTCAAAATATTTTAATAGTCAAAAGAGTGTTAATAAAGAATGACTTCTCTGTTATAAAAACCCTAATAGTGAATGTATTTACCAAGAAGTTAGATTCTATCTTTGTTTTTTTGTTTTTTGCCCCTTAGTTTAAAAAAAAGTTTTATTGTATGGATATTCTACAGTTAGTGTATCTACTCACCTCTTGATGGACATTTGGTTTGCTTCCAGTTGTTTTTGCTATTTCAAATAAAGTTGCTACGAATGTTTGTCCAATCGTTTGGACATACGCTTTCATTTGTCTTGGGCAAATAAGCAGGATTTGAATGACTAAGTGGTGTGATATGTTTAAATTTTTTTTTTTTTTTTTGAGACAGAGTCTCGCTCTGTCGCCCAGGCTGGAGTGCAGTGGTGCATGGAGGCTCACTGAAAGCTCCGCCTCCCAGGTTCACGCCATTCTCCTGCCTCAGCCTCCGGAGTAGCTGGGATTACAGGCGCTCGCCACCACGCCCGGCTAATTTTTTGTATTTTTAGTAGATACGGGGTTTCACCGTGTTAGCTAGGATGGTCTCGATTTCCCGACCTCGTGATCCGCCCGCCTTGGCCTCCCAAAGTGCTGGGATTACAGGCGTGAGCCACCGCTCCCGGCCAGTTTAACTTTTAAAGAAACTGACAAAGTGGCTGTATTTCCAGCAGCAGTGTATGAGCATTCCTGTTCCTTTGTGTTCTCACCAATGTTTAGTATGGTCAGTCTTTTAAATTTTAGCTATTCTAATAGGCATGTAGCAGTATCTCATTGTGGTTTTAATTTACATTTCCCTAATGATGAATGATGTTGAACATCTTTCAATGTTCTTACGTATCATCCATCTGTATTCTATGGTGAAATGTCTGTTCAGATCTCTACATTTGTGTTAGACTATTTGTTTTCCTATTATTGAGTCCTGAGAGTTCTTTGTATATTTTGGATAACAAATGTATCTTCACCAGATATAGCTTTTGTAAATTTTTACTCCCAGTCTGTGATTTGTCTTTTTATTCTCTCGATAGTGTTTTTCTTTTTCTTTTTTTTTTTTTTTTGACAGAGTCTGGCTCTGTCACCCAGGCTGGATTGCAGTGGCACGATCTCGGCTCACTGCAAGCTCCGCCTCCTGGATTCACGCCATTCTCCTGCCTCAGCCTCTTTGAGTGGCTGGGACTACAGGAGCCCGCCACTACACCCGGCTATTTTTTTGTATTTTTGGTAGAGTGGGGTTTCATCGTGGTCTAGATCGCCTGACCTCGTGATCCACCCACCTCGGCCTCCCAAAGTGCTGGGATTACAAGCGTTAACCACCGCGCCTGGCCTCTGGATAGTGTTTTTCACAGGTCAGATTAATTTTTATATAAATCATTTATTTTATTTTTATTATGTAAAATTTTATAATTTTTAATTTTATTTTTAATTTCCTTTTTAAAAGGTAAATAAAATTTTAAGTGTAATGATGGAAAATTTTGTTTAAAAGTAAATGTATATGAAAGTGTTGATATAGACTAAAAAATTGAATAAGTAAGAAGGTAGTTAGTTGTCACAGTAGGAGTGAAGTGAAAAGCTTCCCCTTTCACCCTCTGAAGATTACCCGAAATGAACTGACCATACACAGATTAATAAAAGAAAGGGTATACAAACTTACTTAACCTGCAAAAACATGAGAGCTATACACAAAGTATAAGACTTGAAGATGGCTCAGATCTTAAACGCTCTCCTCATAGGCAATAGATATATAGACCCAGGATGCAGACATTATTTTGTAAATAATTTCCTTTGGAAGCTGGATGGGACAGACAAATTACGGGAAGGTGAGAGATGGAACTGTACAGGAAAAAAGTTTGTCTTTGTCACTTTAATCTTATCATTACTAGAGAATATTTATGAATATTTTAGAATAATATATTTTTAAGCCCCAACCTCACCAAATGTTTTTTTCTAAAACAAATACTTTTTGTTGTTTTTTGTTTGTTTTTGATACTGTGTCTCACTCTGTCACCCAGGTATGAAGTGCAGTGGTGCAACCATGGCTCACTGCAGCCTTGACCTCCTGGGCTCAAGTGATTCTCTTACCTCAGTCTTCCAAGTAGCTGGGCTACAAGCATGTACCATCATGCCCTGGTAATTAAAGAACAAAAAAATTTTTGTTAGAGACCAAGTATCCTTATGTCACCCTGGCTAGTCTTGAACTCCTGGAATCAACTGACCCTCATGCCTTGGCTTCCCAAATTATTGGGATTATAAGTGTGAGCCACAGTGCCTGACCACATATTTCTATACTTCAGTGAGGAAAGGAAGGTGTTAGGAAAATTGGTTAAGAACTATTTTTTAAAAAGCTATTAGTAGTGTTTTATTTTATTTTTTAATGATTGATTGATTTTTGAGATTGAGATCTCACTATGTTGCCCAGGCTGGTTTCACATTCCCAAGTTTAAGCAATACCCCTGCCTCAGTCTCCCAAGTAGCTGGGATGACAGGTGTATGTCACCATACCCAGCTCCATTAGTAGCATTTTTAACAATTGTGGGCCACTGAGTAAGAATATATTTTTTAAATTAAAGGTTATTTTTTAAAAAGCACATTTGTAGAAAATTACTAGCATAATCTGCCTAAAATAAATATACATATTGAAAAAATGTTTGCTCTGAACAAAAAGAAATATATTCACCACACACACATACACACACACACACACACACGCACACACCCACACACACACACACATTATGGAAGATTTCAAGACCAGGCAATAATTTCCACTCAATCCAAAAACAATGCAATCCCAGAGCTGAATATTTAGGTGAAAAATATATCAGGAATGGGAGGCATTCAGGTTTAATTTTCGTGTTTTGGTAGAGTTAGGATGTGAGTTTTCATTTAAAAATATTCTTTATCTTTTTGCTACTATTGTGGTTTCTGTATTGTTACTATACAATCTGTAAACTAAATAGTAAAGGAGAGAAAAGTGATTTTCAACGAAGCTGGCTTGGGAACAGGTACTATTCTGGGAAGATGAAAGGTTTCACTTAATGACTGGTACCTGTGCCACTCTGGTTATTTTAACTGTTAACCTTTTAGCAAGAGGTTTTTCTTTTAAAAGACATCCTTTAATATTTGGGAAGCTAGTGCAATAGTACACATTGAGGCCCACATACCACATGCCAAATATTTAAAGGGCATATTTCTAGCTAACCACTGTACATACATATATTTTTTCTCTCTTATTTTCTTATTTTAGTTTTTTTCCTTGTCAACAATTTAATTTTATGTCCACACTTATGTTCTATCATCCCACTTTGACAAATAATATTATACCTTCAAAATGATGTGGAAGACTAGATTGGAATTTAGAACCGTAGAACCTTGTAATTGTACAGGCAAGTATCTTCCTGGGAAAAAATAAAACAGGAAGAAAAGGCTGGGCAGCCTCTGGTTCAGGAAGGAAATTCGGGAGTCCCTTATAGCAGCATCTCTAGTACTTGGGAACCGAACAGACTTCTCAGCCTGTGAGGCTGGAATGGGCCCTTCTGGAGAACGCGACAGAGAAGTTATCTACTGCCTTTGCCCCCAGGGCCCAGGCAACACTTTTACCCTCCATTGCTTGTTTCCGAAGTTAAGGGGAGGAGACAATGTTTTGTTTAGTGACCTCGACAGAAAAAGTGTCCTCCTGCAACCACTCATTTGTTACTTTCCTTCTTCCTGAATTGCCTGAACCCACTCCTCCTCCATTTCACTGGCTCTGTGCACTGATGTTATAGTCAGGAGATTTTGGGGAATTGTGGCTTCTAAAAATGTACACCCGACTCTACCCATAGCTGGCCCTGTGAACCTACACACCTACTCCACTGTGTCTCCTTCTCAAAGAGACACTCTTCCTGCTGAGTCTCTGCCCTCTGCTCCTAGATCCAAATGGCATCTCCTACCCTATCCCTGTATGGCTTAACCTAGGGAAACTCTTTCCCAGAGGAGTCAGGTAAGGAGACGGTGGCTGAGCTTCTTACAGACTTAAAGGAGACATCCTGGAATTTAGGAGTCTGTCCTTCCTTTCTGTCTCCCTGGCAGCTCCTGCTGCTGCTCTAAGTTTAGCTTTGTCTCTCATCCAGCTCAGACTGTTGCTGGTCCTGATAGCCTCTGCTTAGCTGTATTAGTACGTTCTTGCATTGCTACAAAGAAATACATGAGAAATACCTTTAGTTGGCTCACCGTTCCATAGGCTATACAGGAAGCATAGTGGTTTCTGCTTCCGGGGAGGCCTCAGGAAACTTTTACTCAAGGTGCAGGGCAAAAAAAAAAAAAAAAAAAAAAAAAAACTACCAGCACTGCACTGTGAGGCCCTGATCCCTGAGCTAACTTCATATTATTACCTCTACAGCAAGTGTCTGTGAGAACATAGATATATTTCTTATGTGAGTACACAATTTACAGAAGAGGAACTACCCTCCCAAACCAAAACAAAATGTCATAATTTTAATTTACCAGCAAACCTAGGTTGCTTCTGTGAAATGATCTCATTTGCTGAGTTTTAAAATTGACTAAATTTCCCAATTTCCAAATGAAAATATTTAGTTATCTTGTCTTGCTATGTGTTTTTGGTTAATATGATGATTAATTTTTGGTCTATTACTTAATATATTCCATAATTGTTGATATGGATTATAAGGACTTACAAAATAGTTTTCAGATGTCTTTAATTTTTTTACTTAGTGTAGATCCTATAAATGGATTAGGAGTACTCTATTAACTCCCATGTATTCAGAAATCGAATTGGAGTGGTAAATTCTGTTTGAGGTAACAAGGGATATCAAAGGAAAAAAATAATTTTGTGACTATGTCTTCTATACATGAATTTTTCAGGCATCTTTATCAATGGCTTATACTAAAGAAATTTTCTGGATCATGGGTGACAGAGAGAAGACATGCGGATAAGTGGCATTGTGTACACTACTGCATTTTATCATCTGGTTTATTTTTAAACTTTTATTTCTCTTAAGGATGTTTTATTAACCGGTGCATCACCAGGTTAACAGTCTCTGGAACAGTAAACTTACCAGAAAATACTTGTTGATTGAATTAACAAGAAAACAACATTAGAAAACAGTGGTGCCTTGTTTTTGTCTGTTGCAGTATCTTGGAGAGTAAAGCCTAACTCTTTAATTTTGGCTGAAGATATAAAGAAATACCTGAGAAACACCTTTAGTTGGCTAATGGTTCCGTAGGCTATACTGGAAGCATGGTGGTTTCTGCTTCTGGGGAGTCCTCCAGCACTTACTGGCCGGGTAATTTTGAAGAAGTCATGATAAGATGGTTGTTACAATTAAATGAAATAATCAAAATGGAAGAGCTTAGTTAGCTGTCTTCCCTAAATGAATCACTGGCAAGTAAGAGTGTGATTGATTTTCCTACCAGTCAGGACTCACCCCTTGAAGCTATAGGAGAGTAAACCTCTGAAGACCATACAATTTAGGGAACACTAACACCTCAAAAAACTCTGTAAACTTCCTTCCTTCCTTTTCTTCCTTCCTTCCTTCCTTCCTTCCTTCCTTCCTTCCTTCCTTCCTCCTTCCCTCCCTCCCTCTCTCTCTCTTTCTTTTCTTTCTTTGTTCATTTTTGAGACAGTCTTGCTCTGTCATTCAGGCTAGAGTGTAGTGGCTGGATTATGGCTCACTGCTGCCTTAACCTCCTGGGCTCAAGCAAACGTCTCACTTCAGCCTCCCTAGTAGCTGGGAGTATTGGCATGCTCAGCTAATTTTTTCCTCCTTTTCTTTTTGTAGAGACAGGGTCTCATCATGTTGCCCAGGCTGGTCTTGGACTCCTTGGATCAAACAATCCTGCTGCCTCAGCCTCCCAAAGTGCTGGATTACAAGCATGAGCCACCGTGCCCAGCCTTAAGTTTTTTCATACAGGAGGAAAGAATTTGGGAAAGTAGGTGTGTGTGTGAGTGTTGGTTAGGGAGCCAACACATTTTTCTGCAAAGCTTGAATTCTGTGCCTCAGTTTTTCATTTTGTTATGTGCAAAATAAAATCGTATCCTGCTATAGATTTAAACCTGTGAGCGGATCCTACTCAAAACCTGTTTCAAATTTTGTGTAGATCTTTGTCTCTCTATGGCATAAGAATAAATTCTTCTGGTTTTCTTCCCTCAGAAAAATGGACTTAGACTTCCCAGAAGCCTTCCAGAAGGAACTCACCTGCCTCATTTGACTGAATTACCTCATAGACCCCATCACTGAAGATTTCAACCAATATTCTTCTGAAGAATCTAGTGTCCATTGCCAGAAAAGCCAGTCTCTGGCAATTCCTGAGCTCTAATGAACAAATGTGCGGGATCCACAGGGAGACAAAGATGTTCTGTGATGTGGGCAAGAGCCTGCTCTGTTTTCTGTGTTCTAACTCTCAGGAACACTGGGGCACAGAAACACTGGCCCACTGAAGGGGCAGCTAAGGAACACTGTGTAAGTGATGACTCAGAGCACTTTGAAAGCTGGAGGGCAGCACAGGTAAAGAGATTAGGAGGAAGATGAAGAGCATGAGGATTAATCTATTCTTTAGAGAGTGTCATGTACTGCCTAGGTATCAGTGATATAACTGTTATCCTGCTATCAAATCTACTGATAAGTGGCTCATTTAACATATATGCACTCATCACAATGCAAGAAATCCTCTGACTGCTCCTACCATCGTGGCCCCTAGCCATGATAAGACTTGTCCCCACACTAGCAGAAACTAATCGAGTCCCTATATTAGGGATAAGTGGCATTTATATATATATATATATAATTTTTATATATAATTTTTATATGATATATAAAATATAAATATTTATACAATATATATTATATACATATATATACATACATATACATATATATACATATATATATATATATATATATGTATATATATATCACAATGCCAAAAATGTTTTGTCTTTGAAATAATCACAGTGCATTTGGAGAGACAAATGCATCTACAACCAGGCGACAACACTGAAAATAAAATTGTAGCAGTTTGAATAGGGGATTAAATGAGTTAATTTTTTCCTGGGGTTCAAAAAAAGAAACAGCAGCAAAAAATGGTACTTAAGACTGAAAGTTGGCCATGTGCAGCTGCTCATGCCTGTAATCTCAACATTTTGGGAGGCCAAGGTGGGCGGATAACCTGAGGTCAGGATTTCGAGAACAGCCTGGCCAACATGGCGAAACAACGTCATTACTAAAAATACAAAAATTAGCTGGGCATGGTGGCAGGTGCCTGTAATCCCAGCTACTCAGGAGGCTGAGGCAGGAGAATCTCTTGAACCCAGGAGGTAGAGTTTGCAGTTAGCCAAGATCACGCCATTGCTGCAGACTGGGTGACAAAAGCAAAACTCCATCTCAAAAAAAAAAAAAAAAAGAAAGTTCTGGGTTATGACACAGAACATATGCAACATGAATATGTCATGGTTATGAACATGTAGACTACTCAAGATTGTGTATTTTAAAAATAATAGAATACTAGGTTAAAAAATTAGCATCACAGAATGAAAAATAAGCCACAAACTAGCAGAAGATAATTGTAACACATAAAAACAAAGGATTAAATACAATGGTAATATAATGATAGCTATTCTTACAAAGTTGTTTCTATGTCTCAGGTACTATTCTGAACAACATATGTGCATCTTGAATGCGTGAAGAGTTCCTATATAAGAAAAACACAAACAACAACATTTAAAATGAGCAAAAAACCCGAATAGGAATTTCACAGAAGAGAGAACATAAATGGTCCATAAACATAATAAAAGATGCTCAACTACAATTCTAATCAGGGAAATAAACATTAAAACCCCAAAGAGATACCACTTCATACTCTAGGAAAAACCTAAAAGGCTGTGAATATCTAGTTTCATTGAGGAAGAACAATGGGAAGACTATTCACTGCTGGTGAGGGTGTAGATTGGTACAACTGCTTTGGAGAACGGTATGATGCCACTCAATAGAGCTGAACACACACATGCCCAATGACCAAGCAATTCCACTCCAGGTACATACTGTAAAAATACTCCTGCACATGTAGAATAGGAGACACTGCATAACAAAGTTCACTACAACATGAGGCTGAGGTGGGAAGATAGCTTGAGACCAGGAGTTCGAGGCTGCACCAGTAGCTGGGACTATAAGCATGTGCCACCGTGCCTGGCTAATTTTTTGCTGTTGTGGTTGTTGTTAGAGATGAGGTCTTCCTTTATTGAACAAGCTGGTCTCCAACTCCTGGCTTCAAGTGATCTTCCCACTTCTGCCTCCCAAAGTGCTGGGATTACAGGGGTGAGCCACCATGCCCGGCCAAGTTCTGCTTCTTAATCTGAGGTAGATACTTTGATGTTTCATTTTCCTTTATTGTACAGATATACTTTATATTCTCATATGTGACACAAGTCAAAATTTAAAAAAACAATTTAACGTTTATTCCCTTTAGATGAATGATGGGCAAATTTACATAACGAATTCATTACTGAAACAATGTATACATTTCAGACTAGGAAAGTAACTATTTATAAAAGAAAAGCTTAAAACCTGAAGCAGAAACAAAATCCTGAAACTGTAAAATTGAGTCAAACTAAAATTTAAAAAACAAAGTAATGATATAAAGTATCATTTGTCCAAATGTGTTCTACAAAACGCTTTTTTCTTAAATATGTCTGATGAAAAACAGGTTCTAGGAGTAAAATATGTTTGAAAAATGCTGGGTTAAACAACTGAACCTATGAAGGAAGGAATAGAACGTCTCAAGCTCTTCACTCTGGAATCTTTTTTACACGGCAATTAACACCATGCTTCTTCTTGGATTTGTATTTCAGATAAACACAATCTGGGAAATATTTTATAATACAGAGGGCCACACCAGATTGAATATTGCCCCCAGGAATGAAATGAAAACAGGAATGGATTCTCCAGTAAGAGGTACCCAGATATCCTAATTTTCAGTAGCTGACCTAAACCCTGGAAAAGTGGGATCAAACCCCATAACCAAATACAACTTTTTAGGAACTAAGTGGATAATCACTCTGTGTTGTATGAACATGTGGGCAGTGTGTTTCCTACACAGCTTAAAAGTGCAACAAAAAAAGATCTAGGTGTCATATAAAGAATTTCTACCACTGTTAGGGTAATGGTGGACTGACAGCCAGAGGGTCTTAGATGTGACTTAAGTAAAGTTCAATAGAAGCTTCCAGCACAGATATTCATGTTTCGAATTGGACCGCTCAGTTAAAAAGTTTTCCCATTAGACTTCCCCTAATCAAATTAGAAATGATCTAATTTTCTAATAAAGTTTTCCCCAGGCACAAGGAATCTGTGAACTGGACCTAAAAAATTCTTCATAATGTGCTTTTATTACCATAAAAGATGCACATTTATTTTAAAAACTTCTCTACACCACTATCATAAGCCTTTGCACACACTTATTTCTTTTGGAAGCTAACTTCTGAGTGGTAATGAAATACATTCTTAAGAAAAAAATCTGACACAATGCCTTTGCATCTTAAAATATGTTAAAATATTATTTGAAAAGAGTCAAACATCTGTGTTTTCAGGGTATCACAGGGCGTCAAACTGGAAAATGTGGCACTGCCAGGAGTTTCTACCTGGTGAAGGGTGGCAGACTTTTCTCTTCAGAGGGCTCTTGACAGGGTAGTATCCATTATCTTGCCAATTTACCACAACCTAGGCCCAATCCTCAGTCTTATAGGTTCAGAAATTTATTTTTATCGGCATCAGTAGGGTAGCTACATTGCTTAGAAGCAAACAAAAATAACCATGCTTCAATAGAAATCAGGGTATAGATGTATTAATACAGAATGACAAATATAACTGTGACAGAAATAGGAATGCCTGTTTATGGTCATATATGGCCAATACTTTCATTACAGCCAAACTCATACATGCAGACAAATAAGAGGCCTCTGGATACACAGGGAATCAGAATAAAAAAAGAAGAACTGAACATTTAATAGTCTTCTTTCATTCAATCAATAATTTTTTTTAATTAAGAAACTACTATGTCCAGGTAACCTTCTAGGTCCTGGGGATACAGAGGTCTCGGCTTACAGAAGTCATATGTAAGTAGCAGGTGAAGAGTATGTGTTTCACAGAAGTTTATTACAATATATTAACAAGAGCAAAAAATTTTGGAAGCAATCTAAATGTTCAATAATAGAGCTCCAATTAAATAACAATAAATCCAAATAATGAAAAATAATGCAGCCTGTTAAGAATAAGCACTTGCAAGCCGTAATTCATGACATGGGAAAATTATCATAGTGGAAAAAGAAGCAAGCTATATATAGTGCATGATCCTATACACACACATACATACATACATACATACATACATACATACATACATATTTCCTATCCCTTTATATGCATAAGAAAACAAGCGGGAGGAGGGAGGAGCCAAGATGGCCGAATAGGAACAGCTCCGGTCTACAGCTCCCAGCGTGAGCGACGCAGAAGATGGTGATTTCTGCATTTCCATCTGAGGTACCGGGTTCATCTCACTAGGGAGTGCCAGACAGTGGGCGCAGGCCAGTGTGTGTGCGCACCGTGCGCGAGCCGAAGCAGGGCGAGGCATTGCCTCACCTGGGAAGCGCAAGGGGTCAGGGAGTTCCCTTTCCGAGTCAAAGAAAGGGGTGACGGACGCACCTGGAAAATCGGGTCACTCCCACCCGAATATTGCGCTTTTCAGACCGGCTTAAGAAACGGCGCACCACGAGACTATATCCCACACCTGGCTCGGAGGGTCCTACGCCCACGGAATCTCGCTGATTGCTAGCACAGCAGTCTGAGATCAAACTGCAAGGCGGCAACGAGGCTGGGGGAGGGGCGCCCGCCATTGCCCAGGCTTGCTTAGGTAAACAAAGCAGCCGGGAAGCTCGAACTGGGTGGAGCCCACCACAGCTCAAGGAGGCCTGCCTGCCTCTGTAGGCTCCACCTCTGGGGGCAGGGCACAGACAAACAAAAAGACAGCAGTAACCTCTGCAGACTTAAGTGTCCCTGTCTGACAGCTTTGAAGAGAGCAGTGGTTCTCCCAGCACGCAGCTGGAGATCTGAGAACGGGCAGACTGCCTCCTCAAGTGGGTCCCTGATTCCTGACCCCCGAGCAGCCTAACTGGGAGGCACCCCCCAGCAGGGGCACACTGACACCTCACACGGCAGGGTATTCCAACAGACCTGCAGCTGAGGGTCCTGTCTGTTAGAAGGAAAACTAACAACCAGAAAGGACATCTACACCGAAAACCCATCTGTACATCACCATCATCAAAGACCAAAAGTAGATAAAACCACAAAGATGGGGAAAAAACAGAACAGAAAAACTGGAAACTCTAAAACGCAGAGCGCCTCTCCTCCTCCAAAGGAACGCAGTTCCTCACCAGCAACAGAACAAAGCTGGATGGAGAATGATTTTGACGAGCTGAGAGAAGAAGGCTTCAGACGATCAAATTACTCTGAGCTACAGGAGGACATTCAAACCAAAGGCAAAGAAGTTGAAAACTTTGAAAAAAATTTAGAAGAATGTATAACTAGAATAACCAATACAGAGAAGTGCTTAAAGGAGCTGATGGAGCTGAAAACCAAGGCTCGAGAACTACGTGAAGAATGCAGAAGCCTCAGGAGCCGATGCGATCAACTGGAAGAAAGGGTATCAGCAATGGAAGATGAAATGAATGAAATGAAGCGAGAAGGGAAGTTTAGAGAAAAAAGAATAAAAAGAAATGAGCAAAGCCTCCAAGAAATATGGGACTATGTGAAAAGACCAAATCTACGTCTGATTGGTGTACCTGAAAGTGATGTGGAGAATGGAACCAAGTTGGAAAACACTCTGCAGGATATTATCCAGGAGAACTTCCCCAATCTAGCAAGGCAGGCCAACGTTCAGATTCAGGAAATACAGAGAACGCCACAAAGATACTCCTTGAGAAGAGCAACTCCAAGACACATAATTGTCAGATTCACCAAAGTTGAAATGAAGGAAAAAATGTTAAGGGCAGCCAGAGAGAAAGGTCGGGTTACCCTCAAAGGAAAGCCCATCAGACTAACAGCGGATCTCTCGGCAGAAACCCTACAAGCCAGAAGAGAGTGGGGCCAATATTCAACATTCTTAAAGAAAAGAATTTTCAACCCAGAATTTCATATCCAGCCAAACTAAGCTTCATAAGTGAAGGAGAAATAAAATACTTTATAGACAAGCAAATGTTGAGAGATTTTGTCACCACCAGGCCTGCCCTAAAAGAGCTCCTGAAGGAAGTGCTAAACATGGAAAGGAACAACCGGTACCAGCCGCTGCAAAATCATGCCAAAATGTAAAGACCATCGAGACTAGGAAGAAACTGCATCAACTAATGAGCAAAATCACCAGCTAACATCATAATGACAGGATCAAATTCACACATAATAATATTAACTTTAAATATAAATGGACTAAATTCTGCAATTAAAAGACACAGACTGGCAAGTTGGATAAAGAGTCAAGACCCATCAGTGTGCTGTATTCAGGAAACCCATCTCGTGTGCAGAGACACACATAGGCTCAAAATAAAAGGATGGAGGAAGATCTACCAAGCCAATGGAAAACAAAAAAAGGCAGGGGTTGCAATCCTAGTCTCTGATAAAACAGACTTTAAACCAACAAAGATCAAAAGAGACAAAGAAGGCCATTACATAATGGTAAAGGGATCAATTCAACAAGAGGAGCTAACTATCCTAAATATTTATGCACCCAATACAGGAGCACCCAGATTCATAAAGCAAGTCCTCAGTGACCTACAAAGAGACTTAGACTCCCACACATTAATAATGGGAGACTTTAACACCCCACTGTCAACATTAGACAGATCAACGAGACAGAAAGTCAACAAGGATACCCAGGAATTGAACTCAGCTCTGCACCAAGCAGACCTAATAGACATCTACAGAACTCTCCACCCCAAATCAACAGAATATACATTTTTTTCAGCACCACACCACACCTATTCCAAAATTGACCACATAGTTGGAAGTAAAGCTCTCCTCAGCAAATGTAAAAGAACAGAAATTATAACAAACTATCTCTCAGACCACAGTGCAATCAAACTAGAACTCAGGATTAAGAATCTCACTCAAAGCCGCTCAACTACATGGAAACTGAACAACCTGCTCCTGAATGACTACTGGGTACATAACGAAATGAAGGCAGAAATAAAGATGTTCTTTGAAACCAACGAGAACAAAGACACCACATACCAGAATCTCTGGGACGCATTCAAAGCAGTGTGTAGAGGGAAATTTATAGCATTAAATGCCTACAAGAGAAAGCAGGAAAGATCCAAAATTGACACCCTAACATCACAATTAAAAGAACTAGAAAAGCAAGAGCAAACACATTCAAAAGCTAGCAGAAGGCAAGAAATAACTAAAATCAGAGCAGAACTGAAGGAAATAGAGACACAAAAAACCCTTCAAAAAATCAATGAATCCAGGAGCTGGTTTTTTGAAAGGATCAACAAAATTGATAGACCGCTAGCAAGACTAATAAAGAAAAAAAGAGAGAAGAATCAAATAGACACAATAAAAAATGATAAAGGGGATATCACCACCGATCCCACAGAAATACAAACTACCATCAGAGAATACTACAAACACCTCTACGCAAATAAACTAGAAAATCTAGAAGAAATGGATACATTCCTCGACACATACACTCTCCCAAGACTAAACCAGGAAGAAGTTGAATCTCTGAATAGACCAATAACAGGCTCTGAAATTGTGGCAATAATCAATAGTTTACCAACCAAAAAGAGTCCAGGACCAGATGGATTCACAGCCGAATTCTACCAGAGGTACATGGAGGAACTGGTACCATTCCTTCTGAAACTATTCCAATCAATAGAAAAAGAGGGAATCCTCCCTAACTCATTTTATGAGGCCAGCATCATTCTGATACCAAAGCCGGGCAGAGACACAACCAAAAAAGAGAATTTTAGACCAATATCCTTGATGAACATTGATGCAAAAATCCTCAATAAAATACTGGCAAACCGAATCCAGCAGCACATCAAAAAGCTTATCCACCATGACCAAGTGGGCTTCATCCCTGGGATGCAAGGCTGGTTCAATATACACAAATCAATAAATGTAATCCAGCATATAAACAGAGCCAAAGACAAAAAACACATGATTATCTCAATAGATGCAGAAAAAGCCTTTGACAAAATTCAACAACCCTTCATGCTAAAAACTCTCAATAAATTAGGTATTGATGGGACGTATTTCAAAATAATAAGAGCTATCTATGACAAACCCACAGCCAATATCATACTGAATGGGCAAAAACTGGAAGCATTCCCTTTGAAAACCGGCACAAGACAGGGATGCCCTCTCTCACTGCTCCTATTCAACATAGTGTTGGAAGTTCTGGCCAGGGCAATCAGGCAGGAGAAGGAAAGAAAGGGTATTCAATTAGGAAAAGAGGAAGTCAAATTGTCCCTGTTTGCAGACGACATGATTGTTTATCTAGAAAACCCGATCGTCTCAGCCCAAAATCTCCTTAAGCTGATAAGCAACTTCAGCAAAGTCTCAGGATACAAAATCAATGTACAAAAATCACAAGCATTCTTATACACCAACAACAGACAAACAGAGAGCCAAATCATGGGTGAACTCCCATTCACAATTGCTTCAAAGAGAATAAAATACCTAGGAATCCAACTTACAAGGGATGTGAAGGACCTCTTCAAGGAGAACTACAAACCACTGCTCAAGGAAATAAAAGAGGAGACAAACAAATGGAAGAACATTCCATGCTCATGGGTAGGAAGAATCAATATCGTGAAAATGGCCATACTGCCCAAGGTAATTTACAGATTCAATGCCATCCCCATCAAGCTACCAATGACTTTCTTCACAGAATTGGAAAAAACTACTTTAAAGTTCATATGGAACCAAAAAAGAGCCCGCATTGCCAAGTCAATCCTAAGACAAAAGAACAAAGCTGGAGGCATCACACTACCTGACTTCAAACTATACTACAAGGCTACAGTAACCAAAACAGCATGGTACTGGTAGCAAAACAGAGATATAGATCAATGGAACAGAACAGAGCCCTCAGAAATAATGCCGCATATCTACAACTATCTGATCTTTGACAAACCTGAGAAAAACAAGCAATGGGGAAAGGATTCCCTATTTAATAAATGGTGCTGGGAAAACTGGCTAGCCATATGTAGAAAGCTGAAACTGGATCCCTTCCTTACACCTTATACAAAAATCAATTCAAGATGGATTAAAGATTTAAACGTTAAACCTAAAACCATAAAAACCCTAGAAGAAAACCTAGGCATTACCATTCAGGACATAGGCGTGGGCAAGGACTTCATGTCCAAAACACCAAAAGCAATGGCAACAAAAGACAAAATTGACAAATGGGATCTAATTAAACTAAAGAGCTTCTGCACAGCAAAAGAAACTACCATCAGAGTGAACAGGCAACCTACAACATGGGAGAAAATTTTCGCAACCTACTCATCTGACAAAGGGCTAATATCCAGAATCTACAATGAACTCAAACAAATTTACAAGAAAAAAACAAACAACCCCATCAAAAAGTGGGCGAAGGACATGAACAGACACTTCTCAAAAGAAGACATTTATGCAGCCAAAAAACACATGAAGAAATGCTCATCATCACTGGCCATCAGAGAAATGCAAATCAAAACCACTATGAGATATCATCTCACACCAGTTAGAATGGCAATCATTAAAAAGTCAGGAAACAACAGGTGCTGGAGAGGATGCGGAGAAATAGGAACACTTTTACACTGTTGGTGGGACTGTAAACTAGTTCAACCATTGTGGAAGTCAGTGTGGCGATTCCTCAGGGATCTAGAACTAGAAATACCATTTGACCCAGCCATCCCATTACTGGGTATATACCCAAATGAGTATAAATCATGCTGCTATAAAGACACATGCACACATATGTTTATTGGGGCACTATTCACAATAGCAAAGACTTGGAACCAACCCAAATGTCCAACAATGATAGACTGGATTAAGAAAATGTGGCACATATACACCATGGAATACTATGCAGCCATAAAAAATGATGAGTTCATATCCTTTGTAGGGACATGGATGAAATTGGAAACCATCATTCTCAGTAAACTATCGCAAGAACAAAAAACCAAACACCGCATATTCTCACTCATAGGTGGGAATTGAACAATGAGATCACATGGACACAGGAAGGGGAATATCACACTCTGGGGACTGTGGTGGGGTCGGGGGAGGGGGGAGGGATAGCATTGGGAGATATACCTAATGCTAGATGACACATTAGTGGGTGCAGCGCACCAGCATGGCACATGTATACATATGTAACTAACCTGCACAATGTGCACATGTACCCTAAAACTTAGAGTATAATAAAAAAAAGAAAAAGAAAAAGAAAACAAGCGGGAGGAAAGTGATATCTTTAGTCAAATCTTGTTTACTAACGTACTATTAATGATTATCTTTTCTTTTTCTTTATACCTTTTAGCATTTTTCAATTTCCTAAAATAGCCTTACATGCCTTTTATCACCAGGAGAAAAATTACTTCTAAAGTAATTTCAGTCAACATGCATACTAAGAACTCTTCAGATTTAACTGCTAGAAGCTGTGCATGAATGCCAGTCCTTGCATCTGTCTTGGAACTCACAGAGAGCTCTTTTCCCATGGCTTTAAGCAATACTCAAAAAGACTAGCATACCTGAATTTCCTAGTCCTATGTTTTTTTCATCCAACAGCCAGTCTTGTATTTCTAGCTGTTTTCTAAACATTTCAACCAAACCATTTTACAGATAACTCATACAGTCATCCTTTGATATGCATGGCGAATTTGTTCCAGGATCCCCCTTGTATACCAAAATCCATGGATGCTCAAGTTACTGGTATAAAATAGTGTAGTATTTGCATATAACCTACACACATCCTCCTAGATACTTTAAATAATCTCTAGATTACTTAATAACATTTAATACGATGTAAATGCTATGTAAATAGTTGGTATACCATGTTGTTTTTTATTTGTATCATTTTTTATCATTGTATTGTTTTTTCTGACAATTTTGTTCCACAGTTGTTTGAATTGGTGGATGCAGAACCCATGAATATGGAGAGTCAATTGCATTATGCTCAAAGGTAAATGCATAACTTTTTCCGCACAGCTAATCTTCTAGCAACCCCATTGCTGTCCATGGCAAGCAGGCTTAGTCAATCTCGCCCTTTCCCGTTTCAGGTTCATTAAAAAACTCTTGTCAAAATCTCTTTCATCCCACCTTATTCTTCATTCTCACTTCCATCAGCATATCAGTCCAGGCCCTAGTAACATTAATGTTACTAATGGCACTGTTAGTAACATTAGTTACCAGCATTCAAGTGGGTCTTCCTGATACCATTCTCTCCCATCCTGAAATCACTGCTCTTTATATAGAACTTGTATGATGTCATTCATTGGCTTAAAAACGTTTAAAGCCTTCATTTTTCTACCACCCCAATCTAAATTTCTATGTCTGGCTTTTATTAAAACCCATAATTTGGCCCCACCCTAACTATTTAACTTTATTTTCCACTATTCGCCAGTCTCCACCCTCATCAACGAGAAGACATACCATAATCCACCTCACCACTAACCCTTGGAATATCTAAACTTAAAAATGGTCCTTCCTTTCCCCTTTACTTGTATTTAAAGAACCTGACGAATTATTCCTCCTCTGCTAAACCTTTCACAATTTCTTCAACCTCATTTATGTTTCACATTTTCAGAACATATCTTGCCGTTTATTAGGAATCTCACAATTATTCACTCTCATGTAGATAGATTTACAATCATGTATGTTGTCATCGTCTATTAAATTCCATACTCCTTGAAGGCAGGAGCCATGCCTTATTCTGTACTCAGAATGATGCAGAGCACACAGAAAGTACTCAAACCTTGTTGACTGATCCAGTGAGAAATGACCAACTTCAGTTCCAGCCTCTCTTTAACATGTACATAGCAATTTGGGCAAGTCAAGCTCCATCCTGAAGGACATAATAGGGGACTCTTTTAAGCACATTATTATGAAGGCCCTTCAGGGTTAACACCAGAGTGATGAGGTGCCCTATTCCAGGGATAATGGAGACAGAGTTCTTGGGATTCATCACTGGGGTCCTCAAAGCATCTTCCAAGGGCATAATAAGGAAGGACTCAAACACCTTTGAATCTCTGTGAGACCAGGCATGATGTCTTTTGAAAGAGTTCTTTCACTGGAGTGAATGTCAAAGAGAAGTATAATAAAATAAAAGAACTGAGTAGGGTACCCCTTGTTCATAAAATGACACTACCTAAATCACCCAATCTCACTGAGTCTTGGTTTAACTCAAGAGGTTCCATGCCACTATAAGAGGTGGTAACTGCCAACTGATAGGAAATATTTTCATATGCGTAGTCATAGTGCCCCATATTTATGAAGTTCTTAAGAGTTTTCAAAAAGCTTTCTATATACATTATCTTTTACTTTCTAACTTCTCTAAATACAAGGTGAGAGAGACTCAAGTGTTCTATCAAAACAGAATCTTGGCCGGGCACAGTGACTCACGCCTGTAATCCCAGCACTTTGGGAGGCAGAAGCGGGTGGCTCACTTGAGGTCAGGAGTTCGAGGCCAACATGGCCAACATGGCAAAACTCCATCTCTACTAAAAATACAAAAAATTAGCCAGGTATGGTGGCAGGTGCCTGTAATTCCAGCTACTCGGGAGGCTGAGGTAGGAGAATTGCTTGAACCCAGGAGGCAGAGGTTGCAGTGAGCAGAGATTATGCCACTGCACTCCAGTCTGGGCAACAAGAGCAAAACTTCATCTCAAAATAAAAAAAAAAACCATAAAGACTTTTGCAAGGACCATGTCCCACCCAGAATGGTGCCTGCCTTTCTACAGTTTTTCAGGAAGAGGAAACATTTTCTGCTTCTCTTGCTGAGGTTTTTTTTTTTAACCACCCATTAGGAACGTATAGATTTCAGTATCGAACACTGGGATTCCCTCAGCAGGAATCCCTCAGGAGGAAAATTGCAAACAGAGCTGAAAGTGCAATGTGGAAAGGTCAGGCTGAGGAAGGTTCTTAGCCAGTAGACCAAGGGCAGAAAGGACACTGCCTCCTCAGTCTCCCACTGGGGAACTTGTGATTCTTGTCCCCTGACCTCAGAATTCCTTGTCATGTTTGTTTTGTCTCCAAGGAAAGGGTTTGAATTACAAAATTTAAGGCTAGAGTGGGCCTCCTGCAGTTAACATTAATCCTCTCTCTCCTTCACTGGCCTAGGTGAAGTCCAGGACCATGTAGTTCTGACGTCCACTCTCTCGGGAGATCACCAGTTCACCCATCTCACCCGGTAAGCTGGGCCCTAGTTTGGCGACAGGCATCTTCCACCCACCTGGGAGGCAGGGTTCAACACTCTGCCTCTGACCTTTTTTCCTTCCTCTTCCATCTGCTTAGGCAGCCAGAAGGGGTTGTCTAGCCAGCACCTGAGCTTTGGCGCTCCTCAAGCAGGTGGAGGAAATTTCAGGCACCTGGCTCCTCAGGTGTCTGCCATCCAGCTGCTCTTCAGGCCTGCCCAGCAGAGCTCTCTTGATCCAGCTAGAACTGGCCAGAACTGACTCACTCAGGAATGTGTAGACTTTGGCATCATGGGCTGCTTTAATTTGCACAATTTCCAAATACCTTTTTCTTCTTTTTCTGATGAGTCATCTCCCTAGACTTGCATTTTAAAGAGATAGATAGTTATCAGGTTCCAGAGAAGACATGGTAGAAAATTTATATCTCAAAGACACAGAGCTGAGACTTCAGGTTTAGATACTATAATTTGCCTAAACCAAAAAGGAATGTGTAGGTAAAGTTCTAGTCAAGACAGGATGGCCAGGAAAAACACCTTAAACCAAGGGATGGCTTGCTTTGCTGATTTAAGCCAATGGCTTCTTTATCATAAGACTTCCCAGTGATTTAGTCCTCCCTCTCTTCCAGTGCACAGAGACATACCCCTCCTTACAAATAAAAATATTCTTTATAGATGTAAACTTATTTTACAAAAATGTTTCAAAATAACCAGATGAAAATCATCCTTATGCCAGAAAGACTTGTTTTTTTTTTTTCATTACTAGAAATGAAACAGTAAGTATTTGTTGTATTGACATACTTAGGCTTAGACCTATGTTTAACAAGAAAGCCTAATAATAGCACTGTGGTTAGACTGTAGCCTCTTTTTCCAAACCATCATTTTATTATTATGGAAAGAAAGGATCAAATACCTTTCATTCATCTCATATGATCCTTTAAAACACATTCCACTAATAAGTCCCATTTGGAACAGCTGAAAATCTTTTAATAAGACTTTTTAAAGATGAGCTCATGGCTTAGTGTAAATTTCATAAGCTTAATTAGGTCAAATGGAAGGAACTCAGATGAGTAGTTGCCCAATCAGAGCCCATTATTTGTAAGTCATCAGCCTCCTTCGTGACCTTAAAACTCCACTCTGACCTAATTATTGCAAACTTATATACAACAAAGTGAAAGGATTAATTTTCATTCATCAACCTCTCAATCCCAGATTTTCAAAGAAAAAACCTATGTAAGGAATACTTACCAAAACCAGACAGGAAAATTAGAGCCTGCATACTTAAGAGTCAAATTTGTTCCACTACAGCCAGGTCACATACAATTACATCATTTTGTTCTTCATACACTCTGGAACTGACCAGGACAGAGTTTAGCATAGAAAAACTGTAAGAAATAGGTTCCAAAACATAGAAATTGCAAAGTCCAAAAGGCTATGAAAAAAACTAATGTAAATGAGAGACTCCCCTCCCTTTGTTTTAAAGAAATAGACCCATCAGAGAAATGCAAATCAAAACCACAATGAGATACCATCTCACACCAGTTAGAATGGTGATCATTAAAAAGTCAGGAAACAACAGGTGCTGGAGAGGATGTGGAGAAATAGGAACACTTTCACACTGTTGGTGGGACTGTAAACTAGTTCAACCATTGTGGAAGTCAGTGTGGCCATTCCTCAGGGATCTAGAACTAGAAATACCATTTGACCCAGCCATCCCAGTACTGGGCATATACCCAAAGGATTATAAATCATGTTGCTATAAAGACACATGCACACGTATGTTTATTGCGGCACTATTCACAATAGCAAAGACTTGGAACCAACACAAATGTCCAAAAATGATAGACTGGATTAAGAAAATGTGGCACATATACACCATGGAATACTATGCATCCATAAAAAATGATGAGTTCATGTCCTTTGTATGGACATGGAGGAAGCTGGAAACAATCATTCTCAGCAAACTATCGCAAGGACAAAAAACCAAACACCGCATGTTCTCACTCATAGGTGGGAATTGAACAATGAGAACACTTGGACACAGGAAGGGGAACATCACACACCAGGGCCTGTTGTGGGGTGGGGGGAGGGGGGAGGTATAGCATTAGGAGATATGCCTAATATAAATGATGAGTTAATGGGTGCAGCCCACCAACATGGCACATGTATACATATGCAACAAACCTGCACATTGTGCATGTGTACCCTAGAATTTAAAGTATAATAAAAAAATTAAAAAAGAAAAAAAGAAATAGATGTTCTATAAAAATATACACAATTTTTACAGACAAATACATTTATAAGTTGTTTTTATCTTAAAAATTGGGGATATTTCATATTTATAACTAATTATTGAGCCTTAAGTTTTCTTGGCCATTTCTAGGCTAATAAACTAAGAATCATGTAAACTAAGGCAAAGTAGAATAGACATAAAAGTCCTGAACACTTCAACTTCCTATCCTTCAAGAAGTATACCTCGCAAAGCTCATTTGAGAGAGGAAAAGCTTTCTTCCACCCTCTGTTTTACAGCGCTGAGGCTTCTCGTCACATTTCTATGACTTGTAGCTTAAATCCATGTTACATGGTCACTGGTATTGTTAGTGCTTCTCTTTTAACACTGTAGGAATTAATCAATTTGGTGGCATATTTAATTAATTCTATCACTAGAGGATTGTAAAATTACATATATGAATACCTCACTTTAAAGGCCACTTAATTTTTTTCCAAGGGGATATTTGACTATATTTCACTTGTATCTTATTTAATGATTTTATAATTTAAACCCTAAATTATAAATCTAGAATTTAGAGAGTATATTTCCTCACTGGATTACATTTTTGGAAATATTATTTTATATGTGCACAAATATTACAAAATCACTGTAGACACCTGAAAACTATATTATCTTTTAAAGGCAATATTCTACATTAAACTGGTATAACAAAATTGTTTGGTGCATTTTTTCCAGTACATTTTGTATATATTACATGTTTAACCTTTTTTTATCCAGCACATAATTTTTGAGTACTAAGTGCTAGGTTCTGCATTACTAACTGAATTTAAAGAGTGAAATAACAGACATGGTCTCAGACAATAAAAATTAACATTAGGTCACCTATTTATATATTTGTAAATGGTAATTATGAAAACTTTTTGAGATTTTTAACTAGATAACATTATAATAACACACTTGATATTGTTAATATTTGCCAGTGAGCAAAAAAGAAAATAAAAAGATGGTTTTATTCAATATACACTTTAAAATTGCAGGAAATAGTCAAGTTTCTCTGCTTTGCAGTTGAATGTCTATGTGTTTTTCTCTGCAACTTGGCTTTTGTGGAGTGAGAAACAATTATTCTTCCAGCCCAATGAAGGCAGAAGAGTAACAATAAATCTAATATTTTAAATGCTTATCAAAAGATAGTAAACATATTATTTCAGAATACTGATATCAATAAGTTGACCTACAAAAAAAGCCAAACTGACAGTATTACTGAATAAGGAAAGGCCCAAAGAGACAAAATACTTTTTATTTTGTAATCTCGGTATGACACAACTTACCCTAACTATAAAGACCCTAAATTACCAACATGGGTGCTTATAATATGGAGAGTTAAAAAAGTCATTTCACTTTTAGCTTTTTTATTTCTCTCAGAATAAAAAGTGTATAAGGAGTTTATAAAGAAGTTGATACTATAAGTTAGTACTACAATGACAGCACTTTTCAAGAAAAGACTTTTTTCTCTCTTACAAATATCATGTTAGCAGTATTTGTTTTCTCCAGAAATAATGAGGAAATAAAAACATAAGTATGTGGGTAATTAGTGTAGTTTCTTAAAGAAATGAGTTAGGCAACAGGCTAATAATGTATACTTCGCTGGCTTTTGAATGCCAACAATCATATTCTTTATAAGGCACAGAGATTTTTCTAAAGAATAAGTATGTGAACCTGAAAAGTAATCACCACTTGGTAGTGACAATATGGATAGGGTGAAGGGCGTCACCAAGAAGCAATGAAAAGATACATTTGCAGTTAAATTTGAAAACCATGATGTTTAATACATATAGTAATAAAGAATACTTTCTCCTGTTTCAAAATTATTTTAGAATTTAAGATAGAAGCTAAAATACCTAGGGATAATGATATGACTATTAAAAATTAAAGGACATTTTGAGTATTAGAAGAATGAAAACTTATTACCCAATGAACAGGGATAATTCATTATGCTCCATATCCATTGAATTAAAAGACAGGCCCATTACCTGGATAATTTGAAAGTTTAATTTTATTTAAAAGTCTTGTTTCATTCATCAAGCTAAAGGATTAGCTCCCAGAAATATTCTATGATTGCATATCTGCAACTCTGTAGGAAGTATAGAAAGAATGTTATAAGGGCCACCATCTAAACATTATTATGTAAATAATTTAGTACCATTCCATTTGCCTTTGTAGAATTAAAAATGTAAATGGCTTTCTCATATTAGGAAACAGCACTTTTCAAAACCCAGATAAACATAGTATATTGCAAGAGAATAATTATTTTCTTTATTAAAAAAGAAATACTGGATGCTAAGTCCAAAAGACATAAATTATTTTATACTAATAACTACTAATATTTTATTCATTAAAATATAAAGGTCAAAGATTTCAAAAGATCTTTAAATGATTAATAACATGTTGATCTTTTTCTTCTTTCTGTAAACCTTTTTGAGTCTTCACAATACTAAACTATACAAGCAATATTAAATAGTATATAAACTTGGATTAAAATATTCAAATTTACTAGAATGTGGACATTGGAAAGAATGAAAATAAACAGAAGCATGAAGCAGCAGATATAAAATTAAGAAAGTAACTAAGAGTGTTTAAAGTACATATTCATCTGTGGTCTAATGTCTACCATAAACAATGACTCTTCTCAGTAAAACACAAATTGTTCATGAAGGGAAAAAGCATGTTGTATTAGAGAATATTCAACATAATTTTTTTAGTACTAACTTGTGCCTGGAGTATTATTGGTTTTTCTATTATGAACTTATGCACTTGATAATTTTTTTCATCAAAATTGTATGTACAATTCCATTCAGAAGCAGTTTTTGGTGGGTTTTTTTTTTTGAGACAGAGTTTTGCTCTTTTCACCCAGGCTGGAG
Organism: Homo sapiens; assembly: GCF_000001405.40. Lineage (NCBI taxonomy): Eukaryota > Metazoa > Chordata > Mammalia > Primates > Hominidae > Homo > Homo sapiens. The sequence continues at coordinate 40,337 of NT_187380.1, read as the reverse complement.
TGTAATGGTGCGAATTTGCCTCACAGCAACCTAGCAACTTTTGCCTCCCAGGTTCAGGTGATTCTCTTGCCTCAGCCTCTCGAGTGGTTAGGACTACAAGCATGCACCACCATGCCTGGCTAATTTTGTGTTTTTAGTAGAGACATGGTTTTGCCATGTTGACCAGGCTGGTCTTGAACTCCTGACCTGAGGTAATCCGCCCACCTTGGCCTCCCAAAGTGCTGGATATGGGCAAGAGCCACCATACCTGGCCTCAAAAGCAGTTTTTAAAAGCAAACACAATATAACACCAAAGTTGAAAAATCTATGCTCACCCAAGGATGCCAGGTTTAATAAATTATTGATAGAATACTACATCAAAAATAAGACAATAACCAAAAATATACCATTAAAGATGTATCCACTCCTACAACTAGAGATAATTAATCTATCGGGTAGCAGATGATACTTCAATCAGTTTCAGCATGTCTGAAATCTTTAAGGACAAAAGTGATAAAACATGACTTCATTCTTCATTAGACTCTTAGAACACTTGAAGGAAAATAATTTCTGAAGCACGAAGAGGTAAAGAGGTGTAATCTTTCAAAAAGATATTCAGTGTTCAAAATCCAAGAGTGCAATATCAGGCTGGGTGCGGTGGCTTATGCCTGTAATCCCAGCACTTTGGGAGGCCATGGTGGGTGGATCACCTGAGGTCAGGAGTTCGAGTCCAGCCTGGACAACAGGGTGAAACTCTGACTGTACTAAAAATACAAAAATTAGCCAGGCATGGTGGTGTGCACCTGTAGTCCTAGCTACTTGGGGGGCTGAGACAGGAGAATCGCTTGAACCTGGGAGGTGGAGGTTGCAGTGAACCAAGATCATGCCGCCTCATTCCAGCATCAGTAACAGAATGAGGTTCCATCTCAAAAAAAGAAAAGAGTGTAATATCGGTATGCACAGACAATATACTGAATGAAACAAATAGAATAATTTGAAGAGGTATCTTGATGAACAAGGAGTCATTAGAAAGGTTGTATTCATGTCTTTGAAGGAAATTGCAATGTGAGAAATTAATACTTTGACTACTATACTAAAAGTTTATTGCTAACATGTATTGAGTTATTAACGTGTGTTAGGCAGAGTACCATATAATTTAAAGTGTTATCTCATTTATTGTAGGTAAAATGTAATTTCGAACTCTGGGAGTATAAATGAATTAGATAGAATAAAATTCTATTTAAATGGTCATCAGTAAATCGGTATCTAGGAACAGGGTGATACAGTGCCCAAGTTTTCTATTCTTACTAAATGTTGTGTTTCATTTTCAATGTTTTCTTGGATATTGCTCTTTTTTGGTGATTTTGATTTTTTTTTATTTTAGAAAACTAATAAATTGACTCTTCTTGGTACTGACTCGGGTTTTATAGAAGAAAAAGCAATTAAATTGTGTACATTTACCTTTACCTCATCTTTCCTCTTTTAAATTTACTTTAATTGACATATAATAAATGTACATGTTATGGGTTACAGAGTGATATTTTGATATATTTATGCAATGCGTAAAGATCAAGTCAGAGTCATTATCATATCCATTATCTAAATCATGTATTATTTCTTTGCAGTGAGAATATTCAAAATCTTTTATTTTAGTTGTTTGAAAACACACAATAAATTCCCATTAACTACAGTCACCCAACAGTGCTGTAGAGAACTAGAACTTCTTCCTTCTCTCCAGCTGTAATTTTGTATGTATTAACCACATTTTTCTTATACTCTTCTGTCTCCTACTCTTTCCAGGATATGGTAACCAAAACTCTACTATCTATTTCTACGAGATTAAAAATTTTAGCTTCCATACATAAGTGAGAACACGTAGTTATGTGGTGTTTATGTTTCTATGCCAGGCTTATTTCACCTAACATAATGCCCTCCACTTGCATTCTTGTTGCCACAAATAACAGGATTTTGTTCTTTATTATGACTAAATAATATTCCATTATATATGTATGTCACATTTCTTTATCCATTCATCTGTTGATGGACACTTTTGTTGATTCCATATCTTGGCTACTGTGCATAGTGCTGTAATAAACATGGGGGTGCAGGTAACTCTTTGATATACTGATTTTCTTTCCTTTGGATATATAGTGAAAACCATATGGTTAAATTAACAAACACAATAAAAGCGTTTGGCAAAATTAAATATTCTTACATGACAAAAAACCTCTCATCAATTTAGTATAGAAAATATATGCCTTGACACAAAGGACATAAAGGACAAATCTACAGCTAAGATCATACTGAGTGTGGAAAAGGTGAAAGATTTTACTGTGAACAAGAAAAAGATTATACTGGAACAAGAAAAGGATGTCTATTTTCACCAATCATATTTCACATAGTGAAAGTCTTAGCCAGGACGATTAGGTGAGAGAAAGAAATAAAGGACATCTGAATTGGAAAGGAGACAGTCAAATTGTCCCTGTTTAAAGACAATGTGATCTTATACATGGAAAAAAATAAGACTCTACCAAAAGCTTCTTAGGGTGATACATGAAATTAATAAAGTTGCAGGATATAAATCAACATACAAAAATCAGTAGCATTTCTACATATTGATAGTAAACTAGCTGAAACAAGAAATTAAGAAAGTAATTCCTTTTACAATAGCTACAAAAATGTACTTAGAGATAAATTTAACCAAGGAAGTAAAAGATTTTGACAACAAAAATGACAAATATTAATGAAAGAAATTAAAGAAAACACAAAAAAGGAAAGACATCCACGTTTATAGATTGAAATAATATTCTTAAAATGACCCACTATCCTATGTGATTTACAAATTTAGTACAATCACTAGCTTGTATTTTTAAAAGCACCTTTGCTGCATATTCTTAAGATATTCAATGACAATGCCTGGATTTAAGTTTGAGGTATTATTATATCTATTTTATACTGGGCACAATATAATGTTATCAGAGGTAATGGTTTTGATTTGTCCTACGTCATACAGTAATATATATATTGTGATTTATAGACATGCTATCTTTTAATACTCAGGCATTTAGAAAGTTCATTTAGACAAAGTTATAAAAACTTGCCTTCCTTTCTGCCTATATCACCTAAAAATCCTAATTTAAGAGGTAATAACATTTTTTATTTGATATACAATTTATCAACACAATAAAAATCTAACAATTATGTGCAGAGTGTGAAAATCTCATCAGATTAAGGAACACAAATACATCTTTTTCATATTTTGAATGTAAAACTGTTTTGGAAACAGTTATTTTTAGAAACAGTTAAAAACATTTTTTCATTAGTTTTTCATGTAAAATTGTGACAACCAGCATGAAATAACTGTCATCACAGAAGCATGGTATATTCGATTCTGAAACATATTCTTTGTAAGTTTTAATATATTTATGTATTATTTATACTTAATTGTAACCCATAATGTACAGATATTATTTTTCCTTCAACTCTTAAGAATACTCTTAAATAATAAAATAAAATTAATGAATTATAATTTTTGTTGGTTGGGAAAAAGACACACACGTGACAGTGCATCACTTCACCTCATCATTTCATCTCATCATTTCATCTCATCATTTTATCTCATCATTTCATCTTATCCCATCTCATCTCATCATTTCATATCATCTCATCATTTCATCTCATCATTTCATCAAATCTCATCTCATCCCATTTCCATTTAATTTTCATTATTTCATTTCATCATTTCATTTCACTATTTCATTTCATCTAATTTCACTTATTTCATTATGTCATTTCATATCATCTCATTTCATTTCATCTCATATTTTTGATATCATTTTTCATACCATTTTTCATCTCAATTCATTTCATCTCATTTCATCTCATCTCATCATTTCCTCCTTTCTTTTCAACATTTCATCTCATTTCTTCTCATCTCATTACAATTTTATTTCATTATTTCATCTCATTTCATTATTTCACCTAATTTCATTATTTCATCTCATCTCATCTCAATTCATCTCATCTCATTTCATCTCATCATTTCATCTCATCATTTTTCATCTCATCATTTTTCATCTCATCATTTAATCTCATTTCATTTCATTTCATCTCATCATTTCAGCTCATCATTTCATGTCATATCTCTTCATCATTTCATTTCAACATTTCATCTCATCATTTCATCTTATCTTTCAATTTCATTTCAGTATCATCATTTCATCATTTCATTTCATCTCATTTCATTATTTCATTATTTCCTTTCAATTCATCTCATTTCATCTCATCATTTTTCATCTCATCATTTTTTATCTCATCATCTCATCTCATCATTTAATCATTTCATCTCATTTCTTCTCATCATTTCATCTCATCATTTTATCTCATTTCATCTCATCTCATTTCAATTTCATTATTTCATTTCATTTCACTTCATTTCATTCCATCTCATCATTTTATCTCATCTCATTTCAATTTCATTATTTCATTTCATTTCACTTCATTTCATTCCATCTCATCATTTTATCTCATCTCATTTCATCTCATCATTTCTTCTCATCTCATTTCATCATTTCATCTCATTTCATCTCATTTCATCTCATCTCATCTCATCATTTCATCTCATCATTTCATCTCATCCTTTCATTTCATCTCATCGTTTCATCTTCTCATTTCATCTCATCTCACCTCAGCATTTCATCATTTCATCTCATCATTTATTTCATCTCATTTTATCTCATCATTTCATCTCATATCTCAATTCAATTTCCTTTCATTATTTCATTTCATCTCATTCATTTCATCTCATTTCATTACATCTCATCATTTCCTCTCATCATTACATCTCATCTCATCTCATTTCATCATTTCATCTCATCATTGCATTTCATCATTTCATCTCATCATTCATCTCATCATTTCATCTCATTTCCATTTCATTTCCATTTCATTATTTCATTTCATCATTTAATTTCATCATCTCATTTAATTTCACCTCATTTCATTATTTCGTTTCATTTTTTCATTTCATTATGTCATTTCATTTTTTCATTTCATTATGTCATTTCATTTCATCTCATTACATTTCGTCTAATTTCATTTCACCTCATTTCATCTCATCATTTCATTTCATCTCATCATTTCATCTCTTTTCATCCCATTTCATCTCATCTCATCAACTCTTTTCATCTTATCTCATCATTTCATCATTTCATCTCATCATTTCATCTCATCTCGTATCTTCTCATCTCATTTCAATTTCATTTCATTATTTCATTTCATTATTTCATGTCATCTCATCTCATCTCATCATTTCATCTCATCACATCTCATCATTTCATCATTTTATTTCATCATCTCATCTTATCATTTCATCTCATCTCATTTCAATTTTATTTCAATTTCATTTCATTATTTCATTTCATCTCATCAGTTCATCTCATCATTTCATCTCATCATCTCATCTCATCTCATCATTTCATTTCATCATTCATCTCATTTCATCTCATCATTCATCTCATCATTTCATATCATTATTTTATCTCACCTCATCATTTCATCTCATTTCATCTCATCTCATTCCATCATTACATCTCATTTCATCTCATTTTATGTCATCATTTCATGTCATCATTTCATCACATCTCATATCATTTCATCTCATCATTTCATCATTTCATCTCATTTCAACTCATTGCATCTCATCTCATCATTTCCGTTTCATTATTCCATTTCATCATTTCATTCATTATGTCATTTCATCTCATCATATTTCATCTCATCTCATCATTTCATTTCATCTCATCATTTCATCTCATTTTATCTCATCTCATCATTTCATCTCATCATCTCATCTCATCATTTCATTTCATCATTCATCTCATTTCATCTCGTCATTCATCTCATCATTTCATATCATTATTTTATCTCACCTCATCATTTCATCTCATTTCATCTCATCTCATTCCATCATTACATCTCATTTCATCTCATTTTATGTCATCATTTCATGTCATCATTTCATCACATCTCATATCATTTCATCTCATCATTTCATCATTTCATCTCATTTCAACTCATTGCATCTCATCTCATCATTTCCGTTTCATTATTCCATTTCATCATTTCATTCATTATGTCATTTCATCTCATCATATTTCATCTCATCTCATCATTTCATTTCATCTCATCATTTCATCTCATTTTATCTCATCTCATCATTTCATCTCATCATTTCTTCTCATCTCATCATTTCCATTTCATTTTCATTTCATTACTTCATCATTTCATTATTTCATTTCATTTCATTATTTCATTTCATTATGTCATTTCATTTCATCTCATTACATTTCATCTCATTTCATCTCATCATTTCATACATCATTTCATTTCATCATTTCATCTCATGATTTCATCTCATCTCATTATCTCATTTCATCCCATTATTTCATCTCATTTCATCATTTCATTTCATCATTACATCTCATCATTTCAACTCATCTCATTTCAATTTCATTTCAATTTCATCATTACATTTCATAATTTCCTTTCATTATTTCATTTCATTTAATCTCATTTTTCGTCTCATCATTTTTCATCTCATTTCATCTCATCATTTCATCTCATCATTCATCTCATTTCATCTCATCATTTTATCTCATTTCATCTCATCTCATCTCATTTCAATTTCATTATTTCATATCATTTCATTATTTCATTTCATTTCATCTCATCATTTCATGGCTCGTTTTATCTCATCATTTCATCCATCATCTCATCATTTCATCTCATTTTAACTCATCTCATCTCCTTTCAATTTCTTTTCAATTTTGTCATTTCGTCTCATAATTTCATCTCATCATTTCTACTCACCATTTCATCTCAAAATTTCATCTCATCTTCTCATCTCATCTCATCATTTTGTCATTTCATCTCATCATTTCATCTCATCTCAAGTCATCTTATCATTTCATCTAAGTGAAATGATGTGATGGAATCATGAAATGAAATGGATAGGATGCCCTCAGTGATGTTAAATTTAAAAATTGTTTCTTTTCATGTATGCATTTTTATATTTATATGTATTTATATTTATATTTACTTATATTTATTTTTACTTATTTTTATTTATATTTTTACTTATTTCTTTATTTATAGACAAGGTCCTGTTCTGTGGCCTAGGCTGGAATGCAGTGGTGCATTCACAGTTCACTGCAACCTCGAGCAAACCTCCCATCTTAGCCTCCCAGGTAGCTGGGACCCCAGGTGTGCACCACCACACCTGGTTAATATTTTATTATTTGTAGAGATGGAGTCTTGCTATTCTGCCCAGGCTGGTCTCAAACTCCTGGGCTCAAGCAATCCTCCTGCATTGGCAACCCAAAATGCTGGGATGACAGATATGAGCCACAGTGCCCAACCTATTTATTTATTTATTTATTTAATAAAGACAAGGTCTCACTATGTTGCCCAGGCTGGTCAACTCCTGGACTCAAATGATTCTCCAAACTTGGCCTCTCAAAATGTTGGGATTACAGGTATGAGCCACCATGCCTGGCCTAAAAATAGTATTATATTTTTGTATCATATAATTTTCAATTAGGTAATATGAATATTCTGGACAGGAAATACGCCCTTAATTACATAGGAATAAACATTTGTTACACTGAGAAAAATCTAATAGAGCTAAAAATAAAAATTAATTTGGAAAGGTCATTAGATACTGATACATTCTTACGTTTACACATTCTTTCATATATTCATATATTCTTTTAACAGTATCAATGGTTTGGAGTTATGTGTACAAAACCATGACCTATATGTAATACAACTAATAACAGGCACTTACAATTCAAGGCATATTATATACAAAGCTTTAACTTCTTATCAAAATATTTCGTTTTTTTCTTTCTGTTTTGGCAGATACTATGAACACAACATTCAACTCACAGACACCATGGAGCCCTTACTAGGCATAAAGTACTGTGAAAGGCCAGGGCTAGGACAGAACTGAGACAGGGCCAGGTATAGGACAGAACTGGGGCAGGGTCATGGCCAGAGAAAAACCAGGGGCAGGGTCACAGCCAGGGACATGAGAGGACTAAGGCTAGGGCCAGAAGCAGCGCAGAACCAGGGCCAGGACAGGGACATGGCAGGGCCAGGGCCATGGCAGGATCAGGGTCAGCAGAAGGTCAGGGCAGAGCTAGGGTAGCACAGGGCCAAGGCAGGGCAGGGTCAGTGTAGAGCAAGGAACAGGCCAGGGTATGGCAGGGCAGGGACAGGGAGATCCAGGGCCAGAGTCAGGTCCAGGACATGGACAGGGCAGGGCCAGAAACATGGCAGGACCAGAAAGAGGACAGGGCAAGGGCAAGGCCAGAGAAGGACCATGGAAAAAACATGGCCAGGGAGAGTCCAGGGCAAGGGCAAGGCCAGGGCAGAACCAGAGCCACAGCAGGCCAAAGGCAGGGCCAGGGCAGGGCAAGGCCAGGGTAGGGCGGGGCCAGTGTAGGGTGAGGGTAGGGCCAGGGCGAGTTCAGGGCCAGGGCAGGACTAAGATAGCACAGGGCCAAGGCAGGGACAGGGCAGGGCCAAAAGGAGGGGCCAGGGCCAAGCATGGCCAGTGTCAGACCTGGGGATTGTCAGGGCCAGGGTCAGGGTCAAGGCTGGGCCAGGGACAGGGCCAGAGCAAGGCCAGGGTCAGGGCAGAACCAGGACCAGGATAAGGCAAAGCCAAGGCCAGTGCAGGGCAAGGCCAGGGCAGGCCAAGACCAGGGAAGGGCAAGGCCAGGGTAGAAAAGGCCAGTGTACGGCCAGGCCAGGGTAGGAGAAGGCCATGGTAGGGCCAAGGCCAAGGCAGGGCAGGGCTAGGGTAGCACAGCGCATGGCCAAAAACAGAGCAGGGCCATAGCAGTGGCAGGACTAGCAACAGGGCTAGGGCAAGTGCTGGACCAGAGCATGGTGGGGACAATACAGGGCCAGGACAGAGGATGGCAAGGCAGGTCCAGGGTCATTTCATGGACTCGGTAGGCCTGGGGTCAGGCCAGGGCAGGGCAAAGGCAAGGCCAGGGAGAAGGCAGGGCCGGGGCCAAGGCAGTGCCAGGGCAGGGCAGGACCAGTGCAGGGCCAATGCAGGGTGAGGGCAAGGCCAGGGCATGGAAGGGCAGGGCAGGACCAAGGAAGGGCCAGGAGAGGGCCATGGCAGGGTCATGGCCAGAACAAGGGTATGGCTGGGGTCAGGAATATGGTAGGATGAGGGCTGGGCCCAGGCTGGGGCATGCAGGGCAGAGCATGGCCTGTGCAAGGCATGGCCAGAGCCAGGCCATAGAGATGGGAGGGCAACACCAAGGCAGAGTCAGGGTAGATCCAGGGCTGAGCAGAGTCAGGGCAGGTCCAGAGTCGAGGCAGAGCTAGGGCCCAAGCAGGGCCATGGTAGCACCAGGGCAGAGGAGGGCAGGGCAATGCAGGACTGGGCCATGGCAGTGCCTGGTCAACTCCGGGGCAGGGCCAGAAGCAGGACAGGGACAGGGCCAATGCTCAGGCCAGGGACAGGGCATGACAGGACGTGCCAGAGCAGGGCTGGGCCAACGTCGGGGCAGGGCAAATCAGACCAGGACACCTCCAATTCCAGCTCTGGCCCTGCCTTGGCCCTGGCCCCTTCCTGGCCTGACCTTGTCCCTGGCCCTGCCCTATCCATGCCCTGTGTGTTTGACCAGTGTTTTATAACCAGAATCCTACAAGAAACTTAAATTAGTTCTTTTTGTGCATTTTTAGTAGAGATGGGGTTTCACAATGTTGCCCAGGCTGGTTCCAAACTCCTGAGCTCAAGCCATCTGCCTGCCTTGGCCTCCCAAAGTGCTGGGATTACAGGAGTAATCTGGCCAAGTATTTAACTTCTTTATGCCTGTTTCCTACATTTGGAAAATGGAGATGCTTTAAGTACCTAGCACATAGAATTATTGTGAGAATCAATGCCTCACATATTTACATGTTGATAAAATTATACTCATAGAACACTACTGGAAGCAAAGATAGTATTAGTTAAAATTTAGTGATTACTACAAATATTATTACTATTACAAACAACATAGTATAGACATTACTACTACTATAGTTATCTTAAAAATCTAAAATAAAAATTTTACATAATAGCCTAAAGTAATCTCTCCTGCTCTGCCCTGGCTCAGCCCTAGTGCTGGCTCTGCCCCTAGTCCTACTACATCCCTGGACCTGACCCTTCCCTGGTCCAGCCGCTGCCCTGGCCCTTCCCATCTTCAGGCCTTACCATGGCCCTACCCTGGTCCTGACCCTGCCCTGGTCTGGTCCTGACCCTGGCCCTACCCCAGAGAAGGGGTATGGCAGAGCCAGGGAAGGGCCGGGGCAAATAAGGGACAGGACACATCCAAATCCAGGAAAGGGCCAGGGCCATGACAGAGCCAGGGCGAGTCCTTGGCAGGGCCAGGTTCCAGGCCAGGGCCAGGAAAGGGTCATGGCAGGGTCACTGTATGGCCAAGGTCCAGGCCAAAGCCAAGGCAGTGGCAGGGTCAGGTCTGCATAAGGGCAGGACCAGAGCCAGTGATACAGCAGGGCCACGGCCAGGGCCAGGGCTGTGCCAGGACAGAACAAGAGCAGAGCAGGGCAGGACCACAGCCAGGCCATAGAGAGGGTAGGGCAAATGCCAAGGCAAGGCCAGGGTAGTGCCAGGGCTGAGGCAAGGTCAGGGAAGGTCCAGGGCTGAGTCAAGGTTAGAACCAAGACAGGGGCAAAGGCTGGGGCAGATCTAGGGCACAAGCGGGGCAGATCTAGGGCACAAGCATGGCAGGCTAGGGCAGGGCAATGGCAAGACCAGGTCATGGCAGGGCCAGCCCAGGATAGAACAGGGCACAGGCAGGGCAGGGCCAGGGCCATGGCTGGGGCAGGACAAGGACCAGGACTGGGGTCCAGGCCAGGGCAAGGGTATGGCCAGGGCAGAGGTAGGGCCAGAGCCAGGGTGTGGGCAGGACCAAGGCAGGTCTATTGCAGGGCCAGGGTTCAGACCAGGGCCAGAGCAGGGCTGGGACAGGGCCAGGGCCAGAACCAGGAAAGGGCAATGTCAGGACAAGGGCCATGGCAGGACCAGCAACGGGGCTAGGGCCAGGACAGGGTCAGGACCAGGGCTGGGCCAGGGTATGGCCTTAAGTAGTGAAGGGCCAGGGCCAGGGTCCATGCCAGTGCCAGTGCCGGTCCAGGGCAGAGGCAGGGGCATGGCCAGGTCAAGGACAAGGCTGGGGCAGGGCCAAGGTCTGGGTCAGGGTCAGCACAAGACCAGGACAGAGCCAGGGGAGGGACAGGGCCATGGTAAGACCAGGTTAAATCATGGACAAGACACCTGCAAATCCACTTCAGGGCCAGGTCAGGGCAGGGCCAGTTCAGGGCCAGGGTCATTGGCAGGGCCAGGGCCATGGCAGGACCAGGGTCAGGAACAGGGGTCAATGCCAGAGCAAGGCCACAGATAGGACCAGGTCTGTGCTAGGGCCAGTGTGAGGGCCAAGGCGGGGTCAGAGCAGGCCCAAAGGGAGGGCAGGGCCAGGGCAGGGTGGAGCAGGCCCAGGGTAGCACAGGGTTAAGGTAGGGAACGACCAACCAGGGCAGGTCTATGGCTGGGGCCGGGGCAGGGCCAGGGCTGGGGCAGGGCCAGAGCCAGGGCAGGGCCAAGACAGTGGCAGCTCCAGGGCAGGGCCAGGGTTAGGACCACGGACATGTCCAAGGCCAGTGCCATGGCAAGGGCAAGGGCAGGGGCAGGGCCAGGGTCATCTAAGAACCAGGGACAAAGCCAGGCCCAGAGCTGGGCCAGGACAGGTACCTGGCAGGGCTAGGGTCTGGGACAGGGCCACGGCAGGGCCAGGGCCACAACCAGGTCTGTGCTATAGCCAGGTCAAACACAGTGCCCAGGTAAGGCTAGGGTGAAGGCCAAGGTAGGGCCAGGGCAGGGTCAAAGCCAGGCTAGGGCCAAGGCAGGGCCAGGAAAGCATAGGGCCAGGGCAGGGCAGGGCCAGGCCAGTGCCAAGACCTGGGCAGGGCCAGGGCCAGGGCCACGGCCATGGCCTGGGAAGGACCAGGTTCGGGGCAGGAGCACAACAAGGGCAAGGACAGTACAGGTTCTTGGCACAGCCAGGGTCCAGGACAGTGTCAGGGCAGGGCCAAGGCAGGGTCTGGGCCATGGTAAGACCAGCAACAGGGCTGGGGCTAGGTCAGTGACAGGACCAGAGTCAGGGCAAGGGCCAGAGCAGTGCAAGGCCAGGGTAGGGCCAGGCATTTCAGGGTCAGGGCCAGGGGAGAACCAGGGCAAGGTCTCAAGCAGGGAAGGACCAGGGCCAGGACAGGTCCAGGGCAGGGCCATGACAGGACCAGGGGCTGCGTTAGGGCAAGGGCAGGGCCACAGCAAGGTAAGGGTCAGGGCCAAGGCTAGGGTAGGGACAGGGCAAGAAATATGGCAGGACCAGGGGCAATGCCAAGGCCAAGGCTGAGTCAGGGCTGAGTCAGGGCAGGGCAGGGCAGGGCATGGTATGGCCAGGGCAGGAAAGGACAAGAGCCAGTCCACAGAGAGAGCAGGGCTGATGCCAAGAAAGAGCCAGGCTAGTGCCAAGGCTGAGGCAGTGTCAGAGCATGTCCAGGGCAGGGCCGGGGCCAGGGCCAGAACCGAGCCAGGGCACAGCCAAGGCAGGGTAGGGCAGGGAAATAGCGTGGCCGGGTCAGTACTGGGGCAGGGCAGAGCAGGGCAAGGCGATGGTAGGGGCAGGGCTGAGACAGGCCAAAGAAGAGCCATGTTACACCGGGGCCAGGACACCTCCAAGTCCACTTCAGGGCCAAGGCTATGGCAGGACAAAGACCAGGGCCAGGGTCAGAGCCAGGTCTGTGCTCGGCCAGGGTCAGAGCCAGGTCTGTGCTGGGCCTAGCGAAGACTAGGGTGAGGGCCAAGGTAAGGCCAGGGCAGGGTCAAAGGCAGAGTAGGGGCAGGGCAGGGTGATGACACATCCAGAGCACAGCAGGGCAGGGTGATGGCAAGACCAGGGGCAGACCACTGCCAGCTCAGGGCCAGGGAAAGGCCAGTGCAGAGCCAGGAATGGGTCTGGGTCTGGGTCAGGGCCAGGAACAAGGCAGAGCAGGGCCAGGGCCATGGCAGAGTCAGGGCAGGTCCTTGACAGGACCAGGTTCCAGGCCAGGGCCAGGGCAGCAGCAGGGGCAAGGCCTGGATAAGGGCAGGGCCAGGGATATGGCAGGACCAGGGCTAGGGCCAGGGCCAGGCCATAGTGAGGGCAGGGCAAAAGCCAAGGCAGGGTCAGGGCAGGTCCAGGGAGCGGCCAGCACCAAGCGGGGCCAAGGCACAACCAGCGCAGGGTAAGGCAGGGCAATGGCACCACTGGGCCATGACAGGGCAAGGTCAGTGCCAGGAGAGGGCAGAACAGGCAGGCCCATGGTGGGGCCAGGGCAGGGATGGGCCAAAGCAGGGCCAGGACATTTCCAAGGCCAGGTCAGGGCCAGAACAGGGGCAGGACCATGACCATTGGCAGGGCCAGTGCCATGACAGGACCAGGGTCAGGACAAGGGGCAGGGCCAGAGCCAGGGCCAGAGCCAAGGTCAGGCCAGTGCAGGTTCAGGGCAGGGCCAGTGCCAGGGCAAGACCAGGGCAGGGACAGGGTAGCACAGGGCCAAGACAGGGTCAGGATGGGACCAGAGCAGGACAGGGCCGAGACAGTCCAGGTAACAGTAGGGCAGGTACAGGGCAAGGCAGGGCAGTACAGGGCCAGATCCACGGCAGGCGCAGGGCAAAGCCAGGCCCATTGCCAATGCACCAGCCCTCCCTACAAGGCTCCTACTACCTGGCCACTGCTGCAGCCCATCCATCGCTGTAAGCCTGACTCCCAACCCTGCCTGCAGCCGCCTGCCCTCCTAGCGCGGCCGCTCTCCTACCGCTCTGGCGCACTGCAGTCTCCGTCACTGCCATCCACCTGCAGCGAGGCGAGCCATGGTGTTGCAGGCTCTAGGTGTCTCCTCCTCTTCCTGGCACGGAGCAGCTGGGCGGGCAAAGCCAGAAAAGCCTAGAGGAAGTTGTGAGGAGTGGAAGGGTTAGAGCCTCAACTTGTCATGCCAGCCACTGGGTGGCAGGGGCCAGTTTCAGCAAAGGCACTCACACCCACCCTCCAAAGTCCAGCCTCTCCTTTTGGCCCAAGCTGTCTGGGAACTGGGGTCTGGGGTGGGTGCTGGAGACACCACAGATTCCAGCTCCCCACTCCACAGGAACCATTGGGCCCACCGGGGCTGCACTCCTCGGGGAACAGGAGAAGCAGAAAAATTCAGACCCAGCCAGCCCTCCACACCCAGGTGCCAATTCCTGTTCCGGACACCTCCACGCACAGGGCCCTGTCCCCCGTGGTGTCCCCAGGGGTGCCTGGCAGCCTCTGAGGCACAGACCCAGAGTGCATAGGCCCAGGAACCACGGTGGGTGTGGGGGCTCTGCCATGCTCAGGATTCCCATGCAAACGCTGCGTGCCCTGCCACACTCCAGTATGACCAAGAGTGGGTTGCCCTCTGGAGTGTGGAGTCAGGGAGAGGAGAACCACTCCTTCCTTGGATGCCAACTCTGTTGACCGCCGCCAGCAGTGCAGCCCCTGATAGCACCGAACTCGCCCGCCCTCCACGGCTAGTCCTGCCCTCAATAGCGCCCCCCACCTCCGTCCCCCAATGCCGCCAGTAGCGTATACCCGATAGTGCCCTAACCTGTCCTCCTCCATGGGCACTGCAGCCCCAGAAAGCACCCATAACACACCCTCCCTGCCGTGGGTAGTGCAGCCCTGTGGAGTGCTACCAACCAGTACCCCTAATGCAGGCAATGACACCCTGGATAGCGCCCCCAACCCACCCCACACTGCGAAAGGTGCAGCCCTGGATAGCCCCTGTCCTACCACTCTGGTTGTGCTGCAGTCTCTGTTACTGCCACCACCAACCACAGTGAGGCAAGCCAGTGGGCTGCAGGCTCTAGCACCCAGCAGCCAGGCATGGAGCAGCTCTCGCTGATGGCCGGCTCCTACCACTCTAACCACGCTGCTGTCTGTCTCTGTGGCCATCTTCTTTCACTACAAAGGAATAAAACTAGGTATCAATAAGAAAAGTAATTTTGGAAACAATACAATCACATGGAAGTTAAATACTACCCTCCTGAATAAATGACTAGCGGGTCAATGAAGATACTAACACAGAAATTCAAAAATTTCATGAAACAAAGGGTAATGAAAACACAGTATACCAAGACTTGTTACGCAGAAAGCAGTACAAAGGCAGAGATTTACAGCTATAAGTGCCTACCATCCAAACAAAAGAAAAACTTCAAATAAACAATACATCTTAAAGAACTAGTAAAGTAAGAACAAACTAAACCAAAAATAAGAAAATAACTAAGATCGTAGCAGAAACAAAATTGAAATAAAAAACACACAAGATTAAACGAAAAGTTGGTTTTCTGGAAAGCTAAACAAAATTGACAAACTTTTAACCAGCCTAAGAAAAGAGACAAGATTCAAATAAATAAAATCAACAGATTAAAAAAAGGAGACATTACAACTAATACTTCAGAAATTCAAAGGATCATAACTGGCTATTATATGCCAATAAATTGGAAAGCCTAGTAGAAATTGGCAAATTCCTAGATGCATACAACCTACTTAGGTTAAACAATGAAAACATCCAAGACCAGAACAGATTGGTAACAAGTAATGAGATTGAAGCCATCAGAAAAAGTCTCCCAGTAAAGAAAAGCCCAGGAACTGATGTCTTCACTGCTGATGGCTTCACAGCAAACAATTTAAAGACCTAGTACGAATCCTGCTCAAACTATTTTGAAAAACAGGAGGGAATACTTCCAAACTTATTCTATGAGACCATTATTACTGTGATACAAAAATCAGATAAAAGCATCAAAGAAGGAAACTACAGGCCAGTATCTCTAATATTGATGCAAAAATCCTCAACAAAATACCAGTGAATCAAATTCAGTAATACATTAAAAAGATAATTCATCATGATCAAGTGGGATGTATCCCTGGGATGCAAGAGTCACTCAACATACAATGTGATACATCATATCAACCAAATAAATGACAAAAACAGTATGATCACGTCAACTGAAACCGAAAAAGCATTTGATGAAATTCAACATCCCTTCATGCTATAAATCCTCAAAGAAACAGGCACAAAAGAAACATACCGCAACATAATAAAAACTACAGGAAAGACACCCACAGCTAGAATCATATGGAATGGGGAAAAATGGAAAGCTTTTCCTCTAAGATCTGGAACATGATAAGGATGCCCCCTGTCACCACTGTTGTTTAACATAGTACCTGAAATCCTAGCTAAAGCAATCAGTGCAGCCCCTGATATGGCCCCCAACCCACCCTGCCCCCTACCACCAGCAGTGTCGCCCCCCCCAATAGCACACCCAACATACCCAAACTGCCCCGCCTCCCTGGACCATGGGCATTACAGCACCCCATAGCGCCCTCAACCGAAACCGCCACCCCACCCCCCACAGCCGCACAGTGCAGCCCTGGATAGCACACTTAGCCCACCTCACTGTTGCCAGCAATACAGTCTGGGATAGTGCCCCCAACCGGCTCCCCGCCAAAGGCAGTGCAGCCCCGGTTTGGGCCCCCAAACCACCCCCCGGTGCAGGCAGCACAGCCCCAGATAGCACACCCAACCAGCCACCCAAGATGGGCAGTGACACCTGAGATAGGGCTCCCAACCCGTCCCAGGCCACCCGCAGTGCAGCCTGGATAGTGCACTTACCCCGATGCCTTTCTACGCTCTGGCTGGCTGCAGTGTCCATCGCTGCCACCAACCACAAACAGGGCTGCAAACAGGAAGGATTTTATTCACCGTCGATGCGGCCCCGAGTTGTCCCAAAGCGAGGCAGTGCCCCAAGGTCTGTGCAGAGCAGAACGCGGCTCCGCCCTCGCAATGCTCTCCGGGTCTGTGCCGAGGAGAACGCAGCTCCGCCCTTGCAAAGGCACACAGCGCCGGTGCCGGCGCGGCGGAGAGGCGGACAGCGGCGGCGCGGCGGAGAGGCGGACAGCGGCGGCGCGGCGGAGAGGCGGTCAGCGGCGGCGCGGCGGAGAGGCGGACAGCGGCGGCGCGGCGGAGAGGCGGTCAGCGGCGGCGCGGCGGAGAGGCGGACAGCGGCGGCGAGGGGCACAGCGGCGGCGCAGGCGCAGAGAGGCGCAGGCCCAGGCTCCACTCTCCAGCTGTGAAAGGGTAAGAGCTGAGGGTGGCTGAGACTCGGGGTTGTTCAGGGCGGGGTGGGCTCTGGACCCAGCAGGCCCGGCACCCAGGTCAGGGCTCCAGGGGAGGCCAGGTGGGCGAAGGCCAAGAAGGGGCCGGGGCTGGTCAGGAAGGGCTCCTGGTGACCAGAGCACTTTACGTGAGCCAGGTGGGAGGAAGGTGGCCTGGATGAGCCAGGGAGGTGCCGGGAGGGGCCTTGGCAGAGGCGACCACCTCCGTCAGCCCCCAGGCCACTGAACCCTGGGTAGCGAGAACCGACAGGGGAGGCTGCAGACAGAGGAGTGGAGGCTCCCCGGCTTTGGGGGCTCTGAGTAGAAGCATCTAGGGGGTCCCTCAAGACGACCCCAAACGCTTCCCCATGGTGAGAAAAGAAGGCGCAGAGAGGGGCACGGCGCCGGCTCCGGCGCAGAGGGGCGCACAGCAAGATTTGAGGTGATTTCTTTTATTGCCCCAAGTGTACTTCATGTTCAGG
The DNA here is from genome assembly GCF_000001405.40 of Homo sapiens. NCBI lineage: Eukaryota > Metazoa > Chordata > Mammalia > Primates > Hominidae > Homo > Homo sapiens. Next base: position 22,576 of record NT_187380.1, on the reverse strand, counting down.
CAAGAGGAGTCTGAATTATAGGATGTTTAGAAGCTTCCCTGGCCTCTATCTCTAGATGCCAATAGTACCTGTACCTCTAGTTGTGACAGCCAAAAGTGCATCTAGATGTTGCTAAATGTCCTCTGTGGGTCAAGATGCTTTTTTCAGACATTACTAAAGGTTCTCTGTACATTACAGTTATCCCTGGTGGAGAATCACTGACTTGGAGCAAGAATTTCTTTTTTAAAATTGAAATAGAGAAAGCACTTACCTAGAGTTCAAAACAGAATATTGACATATAATTAGGTAGTGATTTGCAGGATAAGTTAGAGAAGGTAGAAATGGGAGGCAATGAGAATATGCAAAAATGATCATGTCAGTCTAGAAATGAATAGATGGGCTTATAAGCTAGAGCTCTGTGGCTCTGATAGTAATAGAGGCACTGATAGTAATAGAATAGCAGCAGTTGTAGTGGTACTAGAAGCAGCATTAATTGTGCAGTCATAAAAGTACTTCTCACAATTACCTTTAGAAATGTTTGCTACTATGGTTATCCCCATACTGCCGATGAGGAAGCTGAGGTTTAGTGGTCACCCATGGCAATGGTTGGGATTCCAACTCGTATCTGTCTTGCTTCCAACACTTTCTATTGCTTCATCTCTGAAACAGGTTTTGCATTCAAGTGGTTGACAGGAAAAAGCAGTCTGAATGGTCACACTCTCTGCTGTTTGTTAAATTATACTATCCTTCCCAAAATCTCACTCTCTTTATTTAGAGATGTGAACAAAAATTGTTCCCCCTAAGAACGGCACAGGCTGGTACAACTTAGAGCCCCATCTGCTCTGGTTTGTTGGATACTGCCACATTACATTAATTAGTAGAGAGAGAGCATTCACATGCATAATGTGCCCATTTTTCAAAAGCATATTTTACATGGTTCTGTCTTTTCCTTAAAAATTCATTACAAAGATAAGAGTGTGTTTATCACATAAATACAGCCAAATTATGGCATAAGGGAGTTTTAAGAAAATAGACAAAAGAAGTTATAAAATTTTAGACATTATAAAATATTTGTTACTGATATTATGCTATGTTTTTCATGCTATCTTAAAGACTTTTTATAGATATTATTCTATGCTCACAACTAGATTTTGCAATTCCAGTATGCCCATGAATGGAGGAAACCTCCAGTTAGCTTGGTAATTAATTAGCTTCTTTTGTGAAATGTCCAAGCTGCTAATTTCTGTCTTTTTATTTTAAAATAGAACACCTTTTGTTTATTTCTCTGAGACACAGATTTCTCCTACAACTCCAAGTAGGAGAAATAAAAGGAGAAAAACTCCAGAAAGAACTGTTCGGAGTTGGTTAGAAGATTGTCCAGATGATCTTTATTTTAATGTTGGGAAAATATAGATGCCTATCTTGGAATCAGCAAATAAATTATAGTCATATTAAATTTCATTCTAAATTTCTGACTTTATGGTTTATTTTATATATATAATATATTATATATAAATAAAATTTTATATATGTATATCAGTAAACATATGAAACCATGCATAGTACATAAAAACTAGGTTCAAGTAGGAACCCAGTTTACTTTGTTTCTCTGAGCTGTAGTTTCTCAGTATGTGAGGTGGGAATAAAATAGGAACTTCACAGGCTGTTAAATGTGTCAATGAGAGAATGTATATAAAATGCTTACACAATGACTAGCACAAACTATATTACATATGGTGACTCTCCTATCTTAACAGCTATTTACCAATCTCTGCAGTTGCCTTAATGGAATTGTAACAAAACTGGACATGAAAGGCTATTGTAATTTCAGCCCAATGCCTAACATTTGTGGAAAAACATTTCAGCTTTTCTATGCATAGCATATTTTTCTCCACCAAACATCTGTGAAGGTGATTTTCATTTAACTATTTAATGGGTCAATAACCTCCCTTCTATTTTCATATTCCATCTACATCATCAAAAAAGAAATTTTAATTACCCTTTGGATAAATAATAGGAATAAAATGACATGAATCAAAACACAGGGTTTATGCATATTCTCTAAGAAAAACAGAACTAAAATGTTGTTAATAAATTTTACACCCATTAAGGAAATGTGTGAGTCTACCTGGTAGAATTAAAGTATAGTTGAAACTATTGCTGTGGGATGAAATTATGCTCACTTTAATATTTCCGATATGTTTTCTTTGTACTAGAAAAAAACAGATATTTTAAAAATGCTGCATTTATCTTTATCTCTCTGTGCACATGAGGATTTCATACCTTATTTTCACTTGAGTTTCTTTGAACAATGAACACTTTGGAGGAGTGTATGCTATATTAGGAATTTATTAGATTTCATCAAATGGCAGGTGGTTATGAATTTTGTTTCCAAAAAGGAGACCTGAGGGATATTCCATATTAAGGGTTTTATTCCCTTTTGGTGGAAACATGCAAATCATTTGTTTTTGCTAAAAAAACTATGAAATATTTCTTTCATTATTTCCCTTGGGAATGGCAGCTCGCTATTATTCGTAATTGTAAATGCAGTTGACATTTTGAAGTTTATGTTCATGGGAATAAGATATTTTTTGGACATTTTAGTGATGCCAAGCCCAGGAAAATCTAGTTATTTTTTGCAATACACACGTACATACAGTATGTTAATTGGAGTAACAGAGATGGCCATTTCAAATTGGGCTCTGTTATTCATCTTTTTTTTTAGAGGCAAAGAGTGTTGGTAAGCGAATTTAACCAGAAGAGCAGTAGATTCTTTTGAAATAATGACATAGTGGAAAATAAAAACACATATACACCAAGAAACAATTTGTGAACTAAAACATGATTAAATTTAATCTATTGCCATAAAGTAGAAAATGTTCGAAACAAGGAAGACTGTGTACTTTCAGCTAAACTGAAAATAAAATGACAACAAAAAAGCAGGACTCTCCACAATTCAAGACTTGCTGCTTCTATGATGCCACACTCTTAATTATTTACCCCTGCTATATGAATGAGTGAGTGTTAACACTGATGTATTACACCTAAAAGATTGGAAGAGCATCTTTGATTCCATTCCAGTCCACCATGTCGTGCTAGAACCAGGACATCTGCCCTCCATAGTAAATCTCCATAAAATTTTACTGGGGAGAAAAGAATCCTCTACATATGAGGTAGAGATGTGAATCAGACAAGTCCTTAAATGCATGATTCATCTAACTGCCTCTGAATAATTGGTTAACTTCAGCCACCTGTATATATAAGCATGTAGGTGTTCAATGCCACCACACACTCTCCACAAACAGCTGCCCAGGGTTGCCAAAAGATAATTGCATGGTGGCAAAAGGTGCTGCTTGAACAGTGCCAATGTAAAGGATAAAAAACCAGGAACCATATTGTAAGGAAGTGAAGACTGTATTATACTAGGAATTCCACTTTAGAGTCCAATCTGACCATCTGAATCTGAATCGGACTGTAGTGGATGGACTGATGCTACCCTGCAGCCTTACTTCCTTAACTTTGTTTCCCCAGGCCCTAATATAAACCCCAGGAAACAGGCATACAGCTGTATGCATTTGGCAGATTACTATCCATTTCATTGTTCAGTTGTTCTGGAAAGACACCGAATGCAACTGTAGCCTGGAAATATTTGGAAAAATGGTACTGTTCCTGATATCTTTGTTTCTTCCTAAGTGACAGTTGAAGGTGACTGTCCTTTGTACAGTTCTGCCTGCTGTTAGCAATTTTCCAAAATTAAATACCATATTTTGTGTTTGATAGGCACAGCTGTGTCTGTTACCAAGGGCAAGCCCACTTGCACAACACTCTGTGTTCATTTATATACTGAGAACTTTATTTAGAACCCAGTTTTACAGAAAAAAATCAAGTTGGGTGAACCAATTTTGAGGGCAATGAATTCTTGAATTCTACTTTTGGGTTATGAAAAGGGCAAGTTTATTTGCTTCTGATGGAAGTAATATAGGCCTAGTGGATATCTTAGCAGTGCAGAAAATAGGATGTACCATCTACCTATATTAACTGTGTGTGCATTAATTTCTGAATCTGGTTTTAAAAACTCCATTGTGTTCTAAACCTGATAGTTTGGAAAGTTGTAAGACCGAGTCTAGAGACTCATGTTAAAATTCTAAATTTTGGTGCAAGAGGAATAGCTCTCGTTTTTGCCCAAGCCACTTTATTTTTCAATGTCTTCATTATTTTATCTGCCGATTGAACCCATCAGAGTAGAGGAATGCCCAGAATTATTTGAAGCTCTGAAAGTTCTACAATTTGGGCTAGAGAAATGGAATATACTAATTCTACCAATTAAGACACCAACTCTTCAGGCAAAATTAATTTAATACTTGGGGTATGATGGGTTGACCCTGAATATTTACAAGATACTAACATTGGAAAATGTTAGAGTGTGTCACATGGGACAAGAGTCTGTTAAGGTGTTCTACAAGAATGGGAGGTTGTGTGGTTAAACATTTGGCATGCTTGGCACATTTTTTCCCTCTTCCTGGAGAGTTGTAGTTTGCATTCACATTTAAAGGATCTGAGAAATCCTGCAGAAAAGAAAATTATGTAGCTTTGTTTAACCCAATGTTTCCCAAACTTAGTGGACTTTATGCATTCGACATCTTTCCTTTGCTCTTCCAAATTACTCTTCAGCCTTCCCTACCCTGCTCTGTGTTCATGAAACTGACGTGTGTGAATTCTAACTTAGAGTTTTCTTTCTACTGGCTCCTGGTTGTTTGGCTGTCAAGAGAAACTTCTGGAGGAATGATGGCAGGAAAAGGTATCTGAGGAAGAGAGAAGTAAGGTACTTGTTTCCCTGGCTTCCTCTCTCCAAGCTGACTGCATCTGCCCACCAGAGGTCACATTTCTTGTCAAGTGTTCTCTCCACACAGTTTTCCCTCCAGATTCCTGCAAACTCTTATTTCCCTCCATCCTTTCAGGCATAGTCTGTAGGTTACTGCCTTCCTTTTCAATTTTCCTATAACCTGCCCACATCTATTCAAATAGTGCTTGTTTTAGACATTCCTCAAATTACCAAATTTGAGTGTCATCTTTTTTCTGCAGGAAAAAAGATGATATATACACATGGTATCTTTTTTACCTTGCTGATGCATGATGATATATACACATGAGTGATATATACACATGGTATCTTTTTTACCTGGCTGATGCATGCCATTTTTATGGAAAAACTGCTATATTTAAAGTGAGGAAAATTATTTTGGTATCAAAGTGTCTGAAACACTGTTGTTGCTTGATTTGCTAACTATAATTGTCCGAACCCTTCTCTATGTGTAGATATATCCTAAAACCAAGTCAGTAAAAACAGGTCCTTCTGAGTCCTATCTGAGTTTATTTTACCATTGTCAGCTTTCTTTTTGCTCTCAGTGGGCCCATGAGTGATAACTATCTCCACAGTTAGACATCAGTAAGCCATGCCATTTACCTGATTTGTCAACAGACATTTGTGAAGCATGTTTGTGTGTGTGTGGCATTGAACTAGATGCTGAGAATAAAAAGGTAGAGAAAGATTAACATGATTCCAAGGGTATCCAAAGCAGCCTGTATGCCCACCAATACAACAATAATAAAATGTGAATACCGATAATAAATGTAATAATACCTAACACTTAACATAGCTCTGAGTACAATAAGACATTTATATAGTTTGAGTGCTTTATCTTAACTCATTCAATCTTCCCAACAACCTTATGAAAAGCTACTGTTATTATCTCTATTTGACAAATAAGAAAAAGATGACAAAGTCAGGCTAGATGAGTCTGTTCATGTTCACATGTAATTAAGTGGTGAGAGTGGATTTTTAGTCTATGTAGTCTGGTCACAGAGAAAGTATAATTAAAAAATGACAAGGAGATGTGCAATAGGAGGGCTTGGCTCAATTGAGATCCAAAGAGCAAAAAAGTAAAGAGAGAAGAGTGTTTCAGAAGGGAAGAACTTGTGCAAAGATACTCTTAAATTGTCTTGACGCTGTTTCATCAGAGCAGACGACATACAAAAAGGCCAGTCAAAATGGAGTTGTTAAGAGGTGGTCTGTACAAATACATCAGTTAAGTACACGCACTTATATTTTCTTTGCTGTGCTATTCACAATAACAAAGACATGAACTCAACCTAGGTATCCATTAGTGGTGGATTGGATAAAGAAAATGTGGTACATACAGGTACCAAGGAACACTATGCAGTCATAATAAAGAATCAAATTATGTCCTTTTAAGCAACATGGATTAAGCTGAAGTCCATAATCCTAAGTGAATTAATGCAGAAACAGAAAATCAAATACCACATGTTCTCACTAATGAATAAGAGCTGGACATTGAGTTTACATGGACATGTAGATGGAAGCAATAGACACCGGGGACTAAGAGAGGGGAGAGAGAGGTGGGGAAGGGTTGAAAAACTACCTATTGGATCCTATGCTAACTCCCTGGATGACAGGATCCATACCCCCAAACTCAGGATTATGCAATATACCTATGTAACAAACCTGCACATGTATCCCCCCATATCTAAAATAAACACTAAAATTTAATTAAAAAATAAATTTAAAAAACTGAAAAAATATATCAGTCATTGACTTTATTGCCCTGATAAGTAGCAATGGCAACTTCACATGTTGACTTAAAACTTTGATTGTCAACCTTTGGTGTTTGCAGGATACTTAAAAAAACTGGATTATTTAATGACACTCTTGAAGGAATTAAAGTATAAAAAAGTTATAGAATATTGAAAACATATTTCCATACTTATTGAATTAGTTGTTTTTAATTTGAGGAGAACCAAAAAACTCTTTACTGTCCTGACCATATTCTCTGATACAGTCATAATGCAAATTTCTTACAATTTCTGGCATATAGGGCATCTTTCTTTAACACTAGCATGCCTTTACATGAAGCCTTATCACTTCTTTGCAGCAACTTGTTCCTCAACTCACTGAGTGTGCATTGTTCTGCCAGAGACATCACTGTAAGAGTATGTCATGTCAAATGTAGCAAAAATTGTTTTTATATGGTATCAGTTATAAAGTGCCTTTGAGGACTGTTTCTTGCTTCCGTGAGAATGCTGACAAGCAGAGTAAACTAAGTGCTCCAATTTCTAAGTTCAGAAAATTACCCATTTTAGTCAGCTTCTGCAGGGCCTTCTAGGACAGGGCACAGCAAAAACACAACTTCTGAAAACCCCAATCCCCTGGACCACATCTAGAGGACTACAGAAGGTAAGAGGGAGAATTCTCAAAGTTGTAGTTATCCATAATCCTACCCCTTCTTATCAAGAGGAGGAGAAAGGCATTGAACTCTCTCTCATCCCTGCCTTTTACAGATGGTCCTGGAATATGGAGAAAAGGAAAGGAGAAAAAGGGCTAAGGTGCCAGAGGAAATTCCCAAAGCAGCCTGCATTCCCTCATAAATCAAATGTATAACATGGAACTCACCTGACACTTATATCATCTTTTCAGTGCTCCAATGGTCATACCCACAAAGAAAAGGGATCCAGGCAACAAGAGGATGGAGGGTAGATTGGTCTTGGACCAGGAGTTTAGGACAAGGTGATGTTGAGGACTTTGAGACAAGAGTGTACATTTTAGTTATTGAATTACATCACAGAAATAATCACACCAGCCTATATTTTTCACCAAAAATGAATGAAAAGAAAATTATGTCTGTTCTAGGCAGATGGAGGTCAAAGGCTGCTCTAGATCCAGAATCTTAACCTATATCAAGATTCATGTTCATGCATAGCTTTATTGAAATTCTTGGCTCAAATTGACTTACTTCCCTAATGTCAAAATTTGAGAGCCCATTTGTAAAATGGCTTAGTGTAATGCACTGTGGATGATCAATCAAGAGTCACTAGTCTGTGTTCTTATTGGAGAAAATAATATTGCTTTTCTGTGTACATCTGTGTAAGAAATTTCACTTAGACATGAATGCTAAGAAAAACTACAATCCTTTCCAAGCAATAGACATATCCTTTTATGTTTCATAAAATTATCTCTTCATCTGGAATAGTAGAAGTTTTTATTCAGGCTTGCTTTATGCTTTCTCAAAGCTACAGTTATGTTTAACATATTTGCTTTATTTCTATTCCAATGCCTTTGTCATATTTTATGTTAACATTTTGTGTTGAACTATCTAGCCTATCTACCTTATCTATCTATCTATCTATCTATCTATCTATCTATCTATCTATCTATCTATCTGTCTGTCTATTTTATTATACCAAAATCTTCCTGCAAGTGTTGATGTCTAAATAAATTTGATAATGTTTATTAGATAACCTTCATATGTAATTGATTTGCTCATCTATTATCCATAGAACTTGGAAACATATTTGTAGATAAAAGTTACAGATGTATAAATACATTGATAGATAATGCAGTTATATAAAAGTATATATATTAAATTTTAACCATATAAACATGTAACCAGACATATACAGATTTTAGTAAATTTCTTTTGACTTTTTATTTTTAAATGTGAACAAAAATAGTTGGTGATGATGGTGTCTGAATCTGTGGTCCCAATTGTAATCTCACAACTCCAAGTTCCCAACACAGTTGGAAACATCATTTATCTACCGAATTCTTCTGTTGGTGTTTTTCTCCCAGGGAAGCAGAGAAAATAAAGAGTTTTCTGCTTTTAATGTTTCTGCTTTTTATGTTTGTCACAGTGCTCTGCTTTTAGCAAACACCCTGATACACTAAAAGTTTGCTTTTTATTTAACCTTAAAAATTTCTTTGGTAAGCTTGTCCTAAAAACTTGACCCAGAATTATACAAATGCCATTCAAACATCTATTTGTGCATCTCTTTTTTTTCACTTCAACTGAAAATATACTTTCTCTAAAATGTACATTTGCAATAGGAATATATTACTGATGGTGGAAATAAATTTCCATGTAAATTCATATTGTCCTTCTACATAGTGAAATGACAGCGTTTTGGAAGTCACGTGCACACAGCTCCCCAGGGAATCTCACATCTATTATCCATTTCATGCATTGTGAGGCTTTTATGGCAATGTCCATACCCTTCATTTTAGATAGATCTATCAGTCTCTCGGTACTATCCATGCACTTTGGATCACTAAGACTCCTCCTGAGTAGACGACATACTAATATGTGACTAGTAATTGAATTTTTGACATATGCAAAAATGTTGTAAAATAGATAAGAGAGAAAGTGCCATAAATAGATATCTAAAAGAAGGGAACGGATGGCCTCTTTGTGAAGATGTTTGGATAAAGCCAAAACATGACAAACAGATGGTTTATACATATGGGGTAGGTTGACAACGGAACCTGAAGCTGGTGGGGCATAATGCACAGAGCTCCAACTTTTCCTAAAAAACCTGAAGTTTGGTCTATAAGAGGAAAGTATTACAGACTACATAAAAACATAGACAATTGCTGAGGAGAGCTTTACTTCCAACTATGTGTTCAATTTTGGAATAGGTGTGGTGTGGTGCTGAAAAAATGTATATTCTGTTGATTTGGGGTGGAGAGTTCTGCAGATGTCGATTAGGTCCACTTGGTGCAGAGCTGAGTTCAATTCCTGGGTATCCTTGTTAACTTTCTGTCTCATTGATCTGTCTAATGTTGACAGTGGGGTGTTAAAGTCTCCCATTATTATTGTGTGGGAGTCTAAGTCTCTTTGTAGGTCACTCAGGACTTGCTTTATGAATCTGGGTGCTCCTGTATTGTGTGCATATATATTTAGGATAGTTAGCTCTTCTTGTTGAATTGATCCCTTTACCATTATGTAATGGCCTTCTTTGTCTCTTTTGATCTTTGTTGGTTTAAAGTCTGTTTTATCAGAGACTAGGATTGCAAACCCTGCCTTTTTTTGTTTTCCATTTGCTTGGTAGATCTTCCTCCATCCTTTCATTTTGAGCCTATGTGTGTCTCTGCATGTGAGATGAGTTTCCTGAATACAGCACACTGTTGGGTCTTGACTCTTTATCCAATTTGCCAGTCTGTGTCTTTTAGTTGGAGCATTTAATCCATTTACATTTAAAGTTAATATTGTTATGTGTGAAGTTGATCCTGTCATGATGATGTTAGCTGGTTATTTTGCTCGTTAGTTGATGCAGTTTCTTCCTAGCCTCGATGGTCTTTACAATTTGGCATGATTTTGCAGTGGCTGGTACCGGTTGTTCCTTTCCATGTTTAGTGCTTCCTTCAGGAGCACTTTTAGGGCAGGCCTGGTGGTGATAAAATCTCTCAGCATTTGCTTGTCTGTAAAGTATTTTATTTCTCCTTCACTTATGAAGCTTAGTTAGGCTGGATATGAAATTCTGGGTTGAAAATTCTTTTCTTTAAGAATGTTAAATATTGGCCCCCACTCTCTTCTGGCTTGTAGGGTTTCTGCCGAGAGATCCGCTGTTAGTCTGATGGGCTTCCCTTTGTGGGTAACCTGACCTTTCTCTCTGGCTGCCCTTAACATTTTTTCCTTCATTTCAACTTTGGTGAATCTGACAATTACGTGTCTTGGAGTTGCTCTTCTCGAGGAGTATCTTTGTGGTGTTCTCTGTATTTCCTGAATCTGAATGTTGGCCTGCCTTGCTAGATTGGGGAAGTTCTCCTGGATAATACCCTGCAGAGTGTTTTCCAACTTGGTTCCATTCTCCCGTCACTTTCAGGTACACCAATCAGATGTAGATTTGGTCTTTTCACATAGTCCCATATTTCTTGGAGGCTTTGTTTGTTTCTTTTTATTCTTTTTTCTCTAAACTTCCCTTCTCGCTTCATTTCATTCATTTCATCTTCCATCACTGATACCCTTTCTTCCAGTTGATCGCATTGGCTCCTGAGGCTTCTGCATTCTTCACGTAGTTCTTGAGCCTTGGCTTTCAGCTCCATCAGCTCCTTTAAAGCACTTCTCTGTATTGGTTATTCTAGTTATACATTCGTCTAAATTTTTTTCAAAGTTTTCAACTTCTTTGCCTTTGGTTTGGATTTCCTCCTGTAGCTTGGAGTAGTCTGATCATCTGAAGCCTTCTTCTCTCGACTCGTTGAAGTCATTCTCTGTCCAGCTTTGTTCTGTTGCTGGTGAGGAGCTGCGTTCCTTTGGAGGAGGAGAGGCGCTCTGCTTTTTAGAGTTTCCAGTTTTTCTGCTCTGTTTTTTCCCCATCTTTGTGGTTTTATCTACTTTTGGTCTTTGATGATGGTGATGTACAGATGGGTTTTTGGTGTGGATGTCCTTTCTGTTTGTTAGTTTTCCTTCTAACAGACAGGACCCTCAGCTGCAGGTCTGTTGGAGTTTGCTAGAGGTCCACTCCAGACGCTGTTTGCCTGGGTACCAGCAGCGGTGGCTGCAGAACAGCGGATTTTCATGAACCGCGAATGCTGCTGTCTGATCGTTCCTCTGCAAGTTTTGTCTCAGAGGAGTACCCGCTGTGTGAGGTGTCAGTCTGCCCCTACTGGGGGGTGACTCCCAGTTAGGCTGCTCGGGGGTCAGGGGTCAGGGACCCACTTGAGGAGGCAGTCTGCCAGTTCTCAGATCTCCAGCTGCGTGCTGGGAACACCACTGCTCTCCTCAAAGCTGTCAGACAGGGACATTTAAGTCTGCAGAGGTTACTGCTGTCTTTTTGTTTGTCTGTGCCCTGCCCCCAGAGGTGGAGCCTACAGAGGCAGGCAGTATGGCACACTCAATTCATCTTCCTGGAAACCTCCATTTACATTTTATTGTTCAATCCAGAAGTAAATAACTTACATTCAACTATTGAGAAAAATTTTAAATGTGAGGACTACAGGGTAGATAAACTTCAAATATCTCAACTGGTACCCAGCTAAGTTCATGTAGACTTAGGATTAATTTTTTTTACAATATTGGCTTTGCCTTGTTTTATTTGCTTTAGAAATGAAATCTTAAGAACGTTGAAAATATGCTGGCTTATTTCTCCCTATAGAAATATATTGCTAGTTATTTCTACTTGTATAAAATATATAGGGTTTCTACTTGTATAAAATATATAGGGTTTTTTGTTGCTTGTTTGTTTGTTTTATTAGAACAAATGGAGTCAATGAGCTCTCTCTTCTGTAGCACTTTCCATGTTGAATAATTCTCAACACAAGGAAACAAACCTTTTTTCTTTTTAAAAATAATTACACAAGCAGGTCTTGAAAAATTTAGCTTACACAATGCAGTATTATGTAGATTTAAATGTGTCCTCATCCTGCCCACTGCTGTCTTATATTTATTTTAAATTACCATTCTATTCTGATTTTTTTTTAGTGGTAGTCATTGCTATCATTTCAACATACATTATATTCTGTCATTTTCTCTGACTTTACTTGTGTATACATGTGTCCAAATTCATATATATGGATTTTATTAAAACCATAATTTAATAATTTTGTTTACATGCTTTTTTTCTGTTAACAATAGCTTAGGTTTTATACAGCTATCCCTCTCATTTTGATTGAGAACTACGTAATATTTCATAGAATGAAAGTACCATAATAGCTTATTCCATTAAAAAATCTGTTACCATGCTTCATCATGCATACATGAAGATATATATTTATGGTCATGTGTAGAAAAATAAAAGCAGAAATATTAAGTGAAATTAAAAATATATAACCTTTACAAGATTTCTAATAGATGCTAGCAAATTGCATTTAACAAATTATTTTCTCTCCAAGACTGTACGAAAATGACATAACCCCATCCCCTACCAGAAATGAATATCAAATTAATCTTGATTTTACAAGTATTAGTATGCAGATATCATAAGGGTTGTTAGTTAATAGCAACAACTGAGTATAATTTGAGCTGTTAGAAAATTATTTTCTTATATCTAAGGTAAAATTTTCCCTTAATATTGATTTATTGGTCTTAGCTCTACTCTTGGTATCAAAGAGAAAATGCTTCTATTTTGTTTATGTAACAATTTTTCCACATACAAAGTAGTCACATGGTAAAAGACTGAATAGACTGCTAAAGCCCTACATAAAGAGCAACCCATATGTTACCTGTGTCTTCTATGGTTACTTGTGTCAAAGAGATTTCAATAATATGGTGCAAATTTTAAGGGGTCACATTTATTTTTCCCAAGATGTGATCTGTGTATTCGTGTTGCCTTCACAATTCAGGCAAGAAGGTTGCTACTCAGGGCTTTTCTTTATCCCCATTTCTCCCATCACCCCCCACCAGAAACTATATTAATTACACATGCAGATCAAAATCACCAGGTTTTATTTTAGTTCTACTTTACTTGCCCTTTGGAGGCCAACCTCCCATATTTCCACCCATCCTTTTTGTTTCTTCCTAGCTGCTGTCATTTTCTTTTCATATTTTTTCTATTAATCTCCATATCGTTCACGGTGTTTATCATGCTATTCCATTGTAATTAATGTCTCTGGGTTATGAAAGAGCAGATTTAACTTCTGTTTCACTTAGATGTGCTTTATCCCTGAGTAACATGATGCGTGAAAGGATGGACTTGGTGGATTTGGAAATGGAAATGAGACCCATAATGCTTTGCAGCAAATATGCCTGATTCTGAATTTGAAAACTCGTTTAGTTTAGATTCCAATTGTATCTTAAAATAAATTTAGGTTCCACAGACATTTTACTAAGTGTCTGCTTTGGGTCAGGCATAGCCCCAGGAACGCTCACGCTGTATTGTTACGTTAACAAAAGTTATTAAGTGTATGAGAGTGAAACTGTGGAATGAAAACTGCATTTCGTATCAGAGAGAAAAGAAACAACTTACATTTTACATATTAAAATATAAAAAATCCAATATTTTACATGTGAATCCTGTGGGATTTCATACTGCTTGTATACATTAGCTCAAGTGATATTAATTGCAATATGGTGGAATACTAATAGTTTCATTTTTGCAGAAGAGAAAATCGAGTGTTACAGATGCTGACATCCTTGCCACTATCCTACAGCTATTCAATGACATTCCAGGGCTAGGTTTCTGGTGTTTTTCTTTTTCTCTGGCTTCCAAGAGAATGGCAAATTATTTCTTAGTTTTGATTGCCTTATCCCAGTAGTCTCCGTAATCAACAGAAGCAGCAACCGAGGTTCTCTACTTATTAGTATGCATGGGTTTGTGTTTTTTTAACGAAGTAAATATATTTTATTGAGTCCAAAATCTTTGTAATTTTCCTTAATAAATCAGGAAAGAAAGCATTGTGACTTTTTTTCCAATATAATCCTGTATTTCCATGAAGATGGCTTCTTTCAGTGTTTATTTTGTTAAGCACATAGTCTATACATCTTTGTTAAATAAATGAATATGGAGCTTCTATTTTTCATAAATAATTTTATGCATGGTTCCAAACTGACCTGTCTGTATATTTTTATCACCTCAAGCCGCCATATATTGATAGTATTTATTGAGTATCCATTTGATTATAGCACCATATTTCGTGCATATATGTTTTTATTCAATATTTGATACATTGGGAGAAAAAAATGAATACATTAAAAGTACCGACTGTTTTATTTCTTCCAATATATCTTTTTCTATACTGATATAGTTTATAGCTTTATAAATTCTAATAGCTACATTCTTTTTCATTCTCTTGATAAACTCTTTTGATTAAACATTTTGCAATTGTTGAACTTCATAGTTGATTTTTTTTTTTTTTTTTTTTGGAGATGGAGTCTCGCTCTGTCACCCAGGCTGGAGTGTAGTGGCGTGTGGTGTGATCTCGGCTCACTGCAACCTCTGCCTCCTGGGTTCAAGCGATTCTCCTGCCTCAGCCTCCCGAGTAGCTGGGACTACAGGGCCCTGCCACCACGCCTGGCTAATTTTTGTATTTTTAGTGGAGATGCAGTTTCAACATATTGGACAGGCTGGTCTCGAACTGCTGACCTCAAGTGATCTGCCTACCTTGGCCTCCCAAAGTGCTGGGATTATAGGAGTGAGCCACCGTGCCCAGCCTCATTGTTGATTTTTTAAAGCAGGGACTCTAAGTTTGCATGTCAACTATAGTAAATGCATGTTACATACCCTTTTTCCATTTTTTTTGCTTATTTTTAGTTTGTTATATGAAACCTGTTATTGATATAACCTCAAAAAACTTGCATGTGTCTAAAGTATGTTTACATATATTTACAGCAGTGGTACTGTCATTAAAGATTTTAGGGCAGAGGGCAGTTTGCATCCTTATAGATACAATTACAAATATCTCTGTTCTTTCTTTTGTAACTACAAAATGCCTTCTGAAAGTAAAAGCATGGGTAATAGTTCTAAAGGCACTTTGATTATTTTTTGGAATATCATTCCTGAATTGAGCTGTGTGTGATATCAAAGAATTGGGCTTTTCATTAGTCAGGATGTTTGTCCTCAATTGTTTCCTTAATGATGTTTCTTTCATTGCTGGAATGTCCTGTTTCTCCTGATGTATTTATTAACCATGAGTTGACCCATTCTATTTTTGAGGTATGTTTCTTCTGCAGGAATAAGCTACATAGGTAATTAAGCCATTTTTCTAATTTGCCTTTTAAATATACACAGTGTGCAACAACCCTTTTTTAATACTGCCACTTCAATTTTGCCTTTTGAAAATACCAATAATATTTTTCTCAACAATTTCTTAGTTTACTACAGGTTTTCTTTATTGTTTTATATTCTATTTTAGTAGTCATTGCTTTTTTCTTTTATTTATATAATCATGCTTTTTTCATGATTATTAAAAAAGTAGTTTCTCTAGTATGGATATTTTTGGCAAATTTTGTTGTTTCTTTATTATTTTTTGTATTTCTTTTATTTAGATCTGACACCCCACCCTCGTTCCTCTTTTACTTTGTTCATAATTTTGAAGTCTCCCGCTGACACTTACTACTTTTTCTTTACTATATAACTATTTTTTTCTTTTTTAATTTTTATTTTAAGTTTGGGGTGCATGTGCAGGTTCGTTGCAGAGGTAAATTTGTGTCATGGGAGTTTGTTGTGCAGATTATTTCACTATCTGAGTATTAAGCCTAGTACCCTGTACAGTTATTTTTCATGTTATTTTCTTGAGTATAAAAAGTGGTAAAATGTACTCCATTTATATGAATATTCCATGTCTTTCAACTTTAGTAGAATTTATGCTTATTAATAGCTTTTTTTTCCCATATCACTGGCAATGGAATAAAACCAAACATCTGTTTCTTTGTTGCTATCAGCATATTTAGGAATTGACAGAATCATTTGATTGAAAATTCTCTAAATATGATCACAGTACTTTATGGATTTTCATCTTTTTTAACAACATAGATATGGATTACATTTGCCTTATAATCATGTGTTTGTGATTCAAGCAGATATACCAGTACTTAGATGGTTCTCAGGAGAGACTCCATTTCTCAGTCTAATACTGGTATAGGGGAAAGGAATTTAAACTATTTTCAGAAAAAAAGGTCATCCATACCGCGTGTCATGTTCTTTGCATTTATTCTAGTTTTAAGGTTCTTTAATATTTAACATGGAGATGTTACTGCTTTTCTCACCAAGTTATAATAGAGGATGTTTAGGGTTGAATAAAATAATATATGTTAAACATTTTACTTTATGGTTTATATACTATTAGTATTATGCTTATTTTATATATTGCCATTATCTTATCATGAAATAACAAAAATGCGGGGGGTGGGGGTCTATCGATTTTGAGTTATGGTTTGCTAACTGCGTTGTCCTGAATGATTTCTCTCATCATGAAAAAGTACACAGTGGGTGGAATTGCAAACATCAATTCTTCTGGTAGTGTACACAGGCTTCTGTAAGTTAGGAAAATCCTTCGACAGTTATGGCCTTCAAATTCCCCTTCAAGACAGCTGTACAATAGACTATTGCCATATTTCAATTTTCTCCCCATGAATTGTTCACATTAGTTTCTCAATCTAAAATGTCTTTTGGTGTGGTCTTATTTTTAATGTGAACTGGCTTAGAGGTCAAAGATTAATTGCCAATAATATTCCTGAAAAGAGTAGGAAACTACTTTTAAGTAAAACATTCCACTTAATCCAATAGGTCTTTATTCTTCATAAACCAAATGTCCTTTCTGAATAATATTTTTCCTACTGAGTTAGATATTTTGGTATGTCCTGTAGATACCTCAGTTTTAATATGGCCAAAAATATCTATCATTTCCTCTCTTCAAACTATTTCCCTCTATTATTCTTAATTTTGATTACTATAGCCATTATCTACATACTTTTTTGAAGCTTAAAACCTAAGAATTGACATGGACAACTTCCTTTTTTCATTCCCACAATAAACTGTTCATTAAATCCTTTTGAATCGACTTCCAAATGCTTCTCAAATCCAACCTCTCCTCTCGTCTCCTTGCCTTTTGTCAATACTTTACTTCAGGCAAACTTTATCTATTCTCTGGCCTATAGCTGAACATCCTGACTTGTGTCCCTACTCTCAGTTGTTCCTTAGTCTTTCATTCCTGGACATCTCATTAAATTCTCTACATAGTTCCCAAAGTTACCTACCCATTATATCATAATATCATTTTTAAAGGTTTAAAAGGTTTTTGATGCAATATCATTAGCTATTAGAGAAAAGCAAAGTAAAGCTACAATAACATGCCACTATACACTTAATAGAATGGGAAAAGTAAAACCATGCTGACAATATCAAGTGCTGGTAAATATGTGGAACAACTGGATCTCTCCTGCATTGGTGGTGAGAATGTAAATCGATACATTTATTCTGAAAAACAGTTTGGCAGTCTTTTATAAAGTTAACCATATCTTTATCACATGACATATAAATCACAATCTTTAGTGTTTATCTCAGAGAAATGGAAACTTACATTCACGAAAAACCAGAACACTAAAATGCATAGGAACTTTATTTGTAATAGCCCTAATCTGGAAAAACTCAATTGTCGTTCAATGAATGAATGAATAAACAAACTGTGGTACATCATTACAACAGAATACTACTCAGAAATGAAAAAGAATAAGCTATTAATAGACACAATAACTTGAATATATATTGAGGCTAAGTGGGAAAAAAGCCTATCTCAAAAGGTTACTTACTGTGTGATTCTATTTATTTAAAAGCCTAAATATGATGAAATGTAGGGATGGAGAACAGATCAGTGGTTATTAGGGGTTATGGTATGAGGAAGTGGAGGGTTGTGACTATTAAAAAATAAATTTCTTTATGTTGATAGAACAGTACTCTATCTTGATTGTAGTGATACACTAATCTATATATGTCATGGAATCTATAGAACTATATACTAAGGGAAGAAAAGATGACTGAAAAGTAGATGAAATCACAGTATGATCTGTAGTCTAGTTAATAGCATACCTGTATCAATTTTTTGGTTTGGATGAACTTCTTTGCTTACAAGTTTCTTTGGGAACCTCTGTACTATTTTAAAAACTTGTTTATCTTAAACTATTTCAAAATAAAATCTTATTCAAGGGAAAAAAATAAAGGCTTCTACTGATTCCCAAGACCAAGAGAGATAAAAATCAATTTTTTACCAAGACATATAATATGAATCCAAGTTGTTTTTAAACTCTCTAATCATCACTCTTCTTCATTCTTGCAAGTACTTCATATCTTAGCCATTGGGAAATCACAGATATGCACAGAATGCCTTCTTTCACCTCTCATTGACAAATTCCCACTTATCTTTCAATACATGGGCTAAACTCTTCTTTGAGGATCTTCTCAAATCTCAAGTGCTGCTCCTACTCTGCTGCTGTAACACTTCATCATACATTTTTTGAGAAATTATCACAATCCATTGTTTTTTTTTTCTGTTTATGCATCAGTTTCTTTCTTTAGACAATGAACTGGACTGATGGTATAGCACTGTTCCAGGTTCCTCTCAGAGGAGACAATATTAGCCTAATTACTTTATAAGCTCAATCTAAAACTAATTTTATAACCAAGCCCAAAATAAATTAATGTTTTGTATTAATTGAGCTGTTGCACTTAGACTTGGTTAATATAAATATTTTTATTTTCTTCCACCCACAAGGAATGTCTACTTTGCATTGTTGTTTCTGATCTCCATATTCTTGCCATATTAGCAGAACTTCAGTGTTTCAAATATATTTTTTAAAGCAAGCTTCATGGATCTAATAAACACTAATACCATCTGTGCTTTTCTATAGCCCAGGGAAATTCTATCTAGAGTTACAGGACATTTTTGAATAGAGTTAGAAATATATACAGTTCTCTTGGAGTCCATAACATTTTATTTCCCAAATATTATGATTGTGGAATCTAATACTTGCTGTTGTGTGCTATTATAGGCACAGTTTTAAAAACATTTGTTTTATATATAAGCTCTTGGGTCATGATCTCAGGAAGTCATTTTAGATTATGTTGGTTTTGTATGATAGAATCACTTTCTAAAAGTGATAATAGTACAACATGACAGACAGTGGTAATTGACCATAGAAAACAAAAGCAGAAAAATATATTTGTATGAAGCAAAGCAAATTATGTATTAAGTTGGATGCCATAATTGTAATAATATGTTGAGATGCCTACTAATTCTAACCTCTTATTCAACCTAGTTTTTAAGGATTTTTTCCTATTCTTTTTATCATCAGTAAGCCAAGGTCTGTTCCTCCTTCTGTAATAGCTTTTTGCTTTACTATAGACAGCATAGAGTAAATGCAAAAGTTTTAATCAATACAATTAAAATGATTCACAAACCTTCCAGTGACATCTTTGCCAAATTTCATACTCTATATTATGAAGTTCTGCATGAAAAGCTTTGACTGTTTTTCTAATCTCATTGTATATCCTCCTTTTATGTAGTACACCCCAGACTTATTGGCCTTCTTGTTCTTCCAACAATCCAGGCTTGCACTGGTTTGGGAACTTTAGCTGTTATCCCTCTTCAGGGTGTAATGCCTCAAGATTTCACACACGACTTTTTCTGGTTTTTCAGATCTTAGTTTAAGTGTCACTTTCCCAGAGAGGCCTTTTCTGAGTATCCAACTTAAAGTAATCTTGTCATAGTGTGTGTGCCAATGTTGTCTTATAACAGCTCACTAGGGCTTATGGTATACCTCTTTCCAACTATGTATTGAGTGATGTCATATTAGTATATTTAAATTAGTCATGTTGGGAATGTTTTCATCACAGAAAATGGCAAAAACTCGGCTTGCTTTGTTCCTTTTAGAGAGCTGGTTATTAAACATTTGTCAGCATACCATAGCCTATATTGCCTATTAATATGTGACTCTTTATATTCTTTATATTTCTTGCAACCTTTAATTTCTCTTCTGAAAACTCTATTCATATGCATCTATTTCTAGTAGAATATAAGTTTGATAAGAACCAATTCCCTGCTGTCTTGCTAGTGCCTAGAATACTGCTTTCCACATCATGAATGTACAGTAAATATTTTTTGAATGAGTAAATTACTAGGCTAACCTATCTGTTATTCAGTTATAATGAGTTTATTAATATTTAACATCCATTAGTTGATTTTTAAAATAAAACATCTATTCTTCTATGAATGATTTCCTTAAGTAACATTGGATATATATGTATGCTATATTATTAGTCTCTTTCAATTAGTCAGATGCCCATTTCAAGACAGCTCATTAGATTTGCTTTATCCCAACATATAAACTTCACTCAGAAGAGAGAACTTTCAAATCCTTAAATCATCTAAGAAATCTCTCCAATTCTTTCATGTCAAGGTTAATAATTAAATGTTTAATATCTCTTTAAGCTATTAAGCTAACAATAAAAATGCAATATTTTAACCCAATTTACTTGATTAAGGAACAATCCCAGATGTGATTTAACATGAAGAATTGCAGTGATCTGCAGTTCATTAAAATCTGAATACTAAAAAGAGAATTTTAAACATATTATATAAAGAAGTTCGTTTACCTCTTTTCCATAAAGAAATATTATCTTCATTTTCCTTAAAGCATGTTGATTATCATTAGTTACTGGATATACCTAACATGAATTATTGCCTTTTTCCCTGCAGAGCTGTGTACTGGTAGTTATTAAATAGCCCATTATCAACTGAAATTCAGATGCAGGTTTTATTCTCCTTTTTTCTGACCATATTTTTCTGCTAGTGTTTATTTATTTACTTATTTTCATTAAAATGACCATGACCTTGGTGTTAAAATCAGTAATGTATACAGAAAATTCATTTGGAATGCAATAGTTATAATTCAGTTCTGAAAATTTATGTTTATCAAAGTATAAAATATTTTTGTTATAACTCTTTTAACTTTTCCTAAAGTGATGTGTGAGCATGATGTAATGTAGCAGAGGTCCAAATTTCCTTTAAGAATATTGCTTAGACCTCATATCATCTTCTAGCCTCACTATAAGCAAATTGAGAACTGCAATCATTTGATGGTTTTAGGACTTAACAAGAAAAGAAAATATTAAAAATCAGATGTCCTACACTGAGAGTTTTATCTTCTAAAGAACTATTTCCTCTTTTATGTTAAGTACCTCCAAAGTATGATGTTGTTAACGTGAGCACATATGTGCACAAATCAGAGCTGCGCTACAGCGCTGAGGAACTACATGTGGATCCTGAGACCCAGTTTAGCTGAAAAAGTACATCTGTGAGCAAATTGCATTGAATTTTATTATTAAGCATCTGATGAAGTGGTTCACCTTTTGTTTTTAGGTCCACATTTGCTGAAATGTAACTCTTACCTCATGCACTGGGAGTGATGAACTTCACTAGGAATCATCGTTCTTTCTGGTAAGTCACCACAGCACAAAACTGCAACCATTGTTTAGTAACAACTAGACTCTGATAGATGCTGTGGAGAATTTGACTAGAAGTAGGAGGATCATTTACTACACGGCAAAAAAACAAATCAGTTTATCTTAGAAAGGTTAAAATTTACATGGATAATAAAGAAAGGAAGAAGAAGAGTGATAAATTAGTGAGAAAAGAACAGTAAGTGTAATTATAGCAATATGCTTAAATGAAAGAGAAAAATATGGCAGAAGCATTTATTGATTTGAGATTGTAATTTTTTTAAATAAAAAAGCTTAGTCTGGATTCCAACTTGTATATAAAATTAGGAGCAAAGGTATGATTAATATGTTCATGGAATATAATTATCAAGAAACCACAGACATTTGTGTATGGAGGACACAGAAAGGAGAGAACTTGCTAACAGGAATCCCATTAAAGAAGCTTCAGAATTTGAAGATCAGCAAAGAGAAGGAAGAGATGAGAATGAAAGGCTTTACGAAGGAATGAAATGACAGTCATTGCATTTATTGATGTATCTGTATTTAAACATAAGTATATTTATTTATATTTGAACATAACTGAGTTTTCTAGCAAAATTAATAAGGATTATGCTACAGGCATACTCAGTTACAATCTTAGAGGGATTCTGAGAACTCTTTGACAGGTTATTTACTTATAGTTTGTCAGTAGTTTCTAAACATTTTTGGATGCACATCTCTATAAGTAATAATATTTGAGCAAGTAAACTTCAGTACTATATTTGTTTATTTATATGTACACAATTTTTCTAATATATAATGTAAAAATACCTACTAAAATTGATGAGATAAGATAAATGTAAACAGAATTTTTAATAAATTATTTCTACCACAGCAGATC